>NC_000001.11:247244727-247396242 GCF_000001405.40 Homo sapiens
AAGTTATATATCTTGAGAATTTATTTATCTTGCATAACTATAACTTTGTACAATTTAACCATTACTTCTTCATTTCCTCCTCCATCCAGCCCTTGACAGCCATCATTCTATTCTCAACTTCTGTGAGTCCATTTTAGATCCTTCATATATAGGTGAGATTATGCAGTATGTGTCTTTCCCTTACAGCCAGATTTTGATTTCTAAATACCTATTTCCATATAAGCCTAACCATGATTCTTTGGTCTTGAGTAGGAAATATATAAAATGGGCCTTTGTCAAAAAGCAAGAAAGCACTACAAGATGAGTGAGATTTCATCAAAAAGATAGACAAGACAGAATTTAGGGGCTTCCAAGGGTAAATTGGGGATGACATTTTTGTTATTGTTTGTTTGTTTTTTTTGAGACAGAATCTCACTCTGTTGCCCTGGCTGGAGTGCAGTGGTGCCATCTTGGCTCACTGCAACCACCGCCTCCCAGGTTTGAGTGATTCTCCTGCCTCAGTCTCCCAAGTAGCTGGGATTACAGGTGTGCACCACCACGCCCAGCTGATTTTTGTATTTATTTATTTATTTGTAGAGATGGGGTTTCACCATGTTGTTCAGGCTGGTCTCAAACTCCTGGTCTCAAGTGATCTTCCCACCTTGGCCTCCCAAAGTGCTGGAATTACAGGCATAAACCATCGTGCCCAGCCCAATCTGGGGACATTTGGACATCAAAATAAATATTGACTAGAATTAATGCAGCTGAGTGCCATGGTGCATGCCTGTAGTCCCAGGTACTTGGGAGGCTGAGGCAGGTGGATCACTTGAGCCCAAAAATTTGAGGCCAGCCTGTGCATCATAGCAAAGCCTAGTCGAAAAAAAGAACTAATGCTTTCCATATATAAATGTTCATTATCCCACTCTCAGTGTTACTTAAAAAAGAGTATGAATATTAATATTGTGTGTGTAATAACATAGATGAAAAGCAAATGTCAAACTCACCCTATATACCAGTCAATCTTAAAAATGTCCAATCAATAATGCTACCCAGTCTCCGAATACAGTGTAAGATTTCCCTGGGCAAGGAGGCAAGCCCAAGACCATTCTTATTTCTGGAGTACCTCCTTGCCCATTTCTAGTGGCTGAGCAATAATTCCACCCAATTTCTGAGCCTTGCCCAACTGCAAGATCCAAAGAGTAATACCACTCAGCCTGGAGCCACAGCCTGAGACCCTCCTTTATAAAGGTGACAGCAGAGCCCAGTCCACAGCTCCTCCTGACTGAAGAGCCCAGCTACTGATTTCACCAGACCTCACAGCCCAGCCAGAAGCTTTAGCTGATCTCAGAGCACAGGCCGCAACCCAGCCCAAAGAGAGAATGTGACAGCAACCTCCTCCTGTCCATGGTCACTGCCATTTGAGCCATCCAGAACCCAGGTTAGAATAAACAGTAAAGGACTAGTCCCATGAAAGAACACATGGGAAGACTGGGAGATGTGGCCATGGTTTTAAAATGACAGACACCAACACAAGGACACAAAGATTATGTAGAATCAGTAAAATATGACACTACCAAAAGAAACTAATAAAGGTCCAATAATAGATTGTTTAAAAATTAAGATCTATGAACTAAGAATGGAATCCCTTAAAGAAGTTCACTGAGTGATTAAAAAAAAGAGAAAAGAAAACTAAATGGAATTAGGAAAATATGACACAAAGAAAAGGAGAAGATTGAAAAAATAAATAGAAACAATAAAACAAATAGAAATCCTAGAAAGGAAGAATAAGATGACAGAAGTAAAAAATTCAATAGAAACCTCCAATAGCAGACTTGATTAAACAAAAGAAATAATCCATGAGCTTGAAGAAAGAACATTTGAATTTATCTAATGAGAGAATCAAAAAGCAAAAAGAATAAAAATGAATGAAGAAAACCTACAGGATCTATAGTATACTATCAAGAGAGCTAATACTTGCATAATAGGAGTTCAGAAGGAAAAGAGAAAGAGAGAAATAAACAAAAAGCTTACTTTTAAAAATTATGGGCCAGACAGGGTGGTTCATGCCTATAATCCAAGCACTTAGGGATGCTGAGGCATGAGGACCATCCAAGATCAGTAGTTCCAGAGCAGCCTGGGCAACTCCAAAAATATATTTTTAATAAAAATTTTGATAAATTTATATCATTATAATATATATTGTTAAAAATTTATTAAAATAATAACTATATATTATATTATTTTATAAGTAATGTAAATTTTAAATAAGATATTCTAATAAATTTAATTTTTGTCACTACAAAAAATAAATTAAAAAAAAATTTTTTAAGATGGTTAAGGCCAGATGCAGAGGCTCATGCACTTTGGGACACTGAGGTGGGAGGAATGCTTGAGCCCAAAAGTTAGAGATTGGCATAGGCAATATAGTGAAAGCCATCTATAAAAAAATTTAAAAATTAGCCAGCCATAGTGGTGCATGCCTGTAGTCCCAGCTACTTGGGGGGCTGAGGTGGGAGAATTGCTTGAGCCCAGGAGGTCAAGGCAGCAGTGACTTATGATTGTGCCACTGTACTCCAGCCTGGGGGACAAAGCAAGGCCCTTCCTTGAAAAAAAAAAGAAATTATGGTTAAAAATTTCTGAATATGGGAAAAGATATGAGCATCTAGGCATAAGAATCTCAGTGATATTCAATTAAACTCAAGCCAAAGAATAGCTCACCTAGAAGTATTAAGAAAAATCTCTCAAAATCAAAGAAAAAAAGGAAATTCTGATATCACCATGATGTAAAAAATATCACATACATGGGAGCCCCCAGTGTAGTTATCAATGAATTTTTTTACCATTTTTAATTTTTGTGGGTACATAATAGGTGTATATATTTATGGGGAACATAAGATGTTTTGTACAGGCATGCAATGCATAATAATCATATCATGGAGAATGGAGTAGCCATCCTGTCAAAAATTTATCCTTTGTGTTACAAATAATCCAATTATACTATTTTAGTTAGTTTTAAATGCACATTTAAATTATTATTGCCGATAGTCACCCTGTTGTGCCATGTAAGAGTAGGTCTTATTCATTCTTTCTAACTATTTTTTGTACCCATTATCTACCCCTACTTCCCTCCCAACCCCTCACTACCCTTCCCAGCTTCTGATAACCATCCTTCTACTCTCTATCTTCATGAGTTTAATTGTCTTCATTTTTAGATCCCACAAATAAGTGAGAATGTACATTGTCTTTCTGTGCCTGGATCATTTCACTTAATATAATGATCTCCAGTTCCATCCATGTTGTTGCAAAGGACAAGATCTTATTCTTATTCTTTTTGAAATCATCATTCTCAGTAAACTATCGCAAGGACAAAAAACCAAACACCGCGTGTTCTCACTCATAGGCGGGAATTGAACAATGAGAACACATGGACACAGGAAGGGGAACATCACACTCTGGGGACTGTTGTGGGGTGGGCAGAGTGGGGAGGGATAGCATTAGGAGATATACCTAATGCTAAATGACGAGTTAATGGGTGCAGTATGCCAGCATGGCACATGTATACATATGTAACTAACCTGCACATTGTCCACACGTACTCTAAAACTTAAAGTATAATAATAAAAAAATTTTTTAAAAAAGATCTTATTCTTTTTGATGGCTGAATAGTGCTCCATTGTGTATATGTACCACATTTTCTTTATCCATTCATCTGTTGATGGACATTTAGGTTGCTTCCAAATCTTGACTATTGTTAAAGGGCTGCAACAAACATGGGACTGAAGATATCCCTTTGATATCTGACTTCCTTTCAGTGGGACGGCTGGATCACATGTTAGCTCAGTTTGTAGTTTTTTTTGAAGAACCTTCAAACCATTCTCCATAATGGTTGTACAAATTTATATTCCCACTGGAGTGTACAAGGGTTCCCTTTTCTCATGCCCTTGCCAGCATTTTGTATTGCCTGTCTTTTGGATATATACCATTTTAATGGGAGTGAGATGATATCTTACTGTAGTTTTGTCTTCCATTTCTCTGATAATCAATGATGTTGAGCACCTTTTCTTTTCTTTTTCTTTTTTTTTTTTTGTTTGAGACAGAGTCTTGCTCTCTCACCCAGGCTGGAGTGCAGTGGGGCAATCTTGGCTCACTGCAAGCTCCGCCTCCCGGGTTCATGCCATTCTCCTGCCTCAGCCTCCCAAGTAGCTGGGACTACAGGCGCCCGCCACCACGCCCAGCTAATTTTTTGTATTTTTAGGAGAGACGGGGTTTCACCATGTTAGCCACGATGGTCTCGATCTCCTGACCTGGTGATCTGCCCACCTTGGCCTCCCAAAGTGCTGGGATTACAGGCGTGAGCCACCGCGCCCGGCCAAGCACCTTTTCATATGCTTATTTTCCATTTGTATGTCTTCTTTTGAGAAATGGTTATTCAACTCTTTTGCCCATCTTTTGATCAAATTATTAGTTTTTTTTTGTATAGAGTTGTTTGAGCTCCTTATAGATTACGGTTACTAACTCCTTGTCAGATAGGTGGTTTGCAAATATTTTTTCCTATTCTGTGGGTTGTCTCTTAACTTTGTTGATTGTATTTGCTGTGCAGAAACTTTTTAACTTGATGTGATCTCATTTGTCTATTTTTGCTTTGGTTACCTGTGCTAGTGGGGTATTGCTCAAAACATTTTTGCCCAGATCAATGTCCTGGAGATTTTCTCCAGTATTTTCTGGTAGTTGTTTCACGGTTTAATGTCTTAGATTTAAGTCTTTAGTCCATTTTCATTTTATTTTTATATATGGTGAAGGAGAGGGGTCTAGTTCCATTCTTCTGCATATGGATATCCAGTTTTCTCAGCACCATTTAATGAAGAGACAGTCTTTTCCCCCAGTGTATATGTATTCTTGGCATGTTTGTTGAAAATGAGTTTACTGTAGGTATGTGGAATTATTTCTGAGTTCTCTATTCTGTTCTATTGGTCTATGTGTCTACCTTTATGCCAGTGCCACGCTGTTTTTGGTTATTACAGCTCTGTAGTGTAACATGAAGTCAGGTAACGTGGTTCCTCCAGTTTTGTTCTTCTCGTTCAGGATACTTTTGGCTATTCCGGATCTTTTGTGGTTTCATATAAGTTTCAGGATTGTTTTTTCTATTTCTGTATAGCATTTCATTGGTATTTTGACAGGGATTGCATTTTATTTGTAGATTGCTTTGGGTAGTATAAACATTTTAACAGTATTGTTTCTTCCAATACATGAACATGAAATATCTTTCCATTTTTTGGTGTCCTCTTCAATTTCTTTCATCAGTGTTTTACAGTTTTTATTATACAGATCTTTCACTTTTTTGGTTAATTCCAGGTATTTAACTTTATTTCTGGCTGCTGTATATGGGATTCCTATTTTTTATTTCTTTTTCAAATTGTTCACTGTTGGCATAAAGAAGTGCTACTCATTTTTTATTTTATTTTATTTTTTTTGGAGACAGAGCCTTGCTCTGTCGCCCACGATGGAGTGCAGTGGCGCGATCTCGGCTCATGGCAAGCTCCACCTCCCGGGTTCACGCCATTCTGCTGTCTTAGACTCCCGAGTAGCTGGGACTGCAGGCACCCGCCACCACGCTCAGCTAATTTTTTTGTATTTTTAGTAGAGATGGGGTTTCACCGTGTTAGCCAGGATGGTCTCGATCTCCTGACCTTGTGATCCACCCACCTCGGCCTCCCAAAGTGCTGGGATTACAGGCATGAGCCACCGTGCCCAGCCATAGAAATGCTACTGATTTTTGTATGCTGATTTTGTATTCTGCAACTTTACTGCATTTACCAGTTATAATAACTTTTTAGTGAAGTCTTTATGTTTTGCCAAACATAAGATTATATCATCTGCAAAAAGGATAATTTGATTTCTTCCTTTCCAATTTGAATGCCCTTTATTTCCTTCTTTTGTCTGATTGTTCTAGCTAGAGCTTCCAATACCATATTGAATAACAGTGGTGAAAGTGGGCATCCTTGTTGTGTTCCAGATCTTAGAGGAAAAGCTTTCAGTTATTCTCCATTTGGTATATTAGCTGTGAGTCTGTCACATATGGCTTTTATTACGTTCTTCCTTCTATACCCAGTTTTTTGAAAGTTATGAAGGAATGTTAAATTTTGTCAAATGCTTTCTAGTATCAATTGAAATAATTATGTTTTCCTTCATTGTGTTGATATGATGTATCACATTGATTGATTTGCATATATTGGACCATCCTGGCATCCTAGGGAATAATACCACTTGATCATGATGAATTATCTTTCTAATGTATTGTTGTATTCAGTTTGCTAGCATTTTGTCGAAGGTTTTTGCGTCAATAATCATCAGAGATATTGGCCTGCAGTTTTCTTTTTTGATGTGTCTTTGGTTTTTCTATCAGTGTAATACTGGCCTCGTAGAATGAGTTTGGGAGTATTCCCACCTGCTCTATTGTTTGAAATAGGATTTGGGTAGGATTGGTATTAGTTCTTCTTTAAATGGTAGAATTCAGCAGTGAAGCCATTGGGTTCCAGGCTTTTCTTTACTGGGAGGCTTTTTATAACGACTTTGATTTTGTTACTTGTTATTGGTCTGTTCAGGTTTTGGATTTCTTCATCATTCAATCTTGGTAGGCAGTATGTGTCTATGAATTTGTCCATTTCTCTAAATTTTCCAATTTATTGGCATATAGTTTCTCATAGTAGCCACTAATGATCCTTTGAATTTTGCAAATTATTTGTAATGTCTCCTTTTTCATGTCTGATTTTATTTATTTATATAGTCTCTCTTTTTTTTTCTTAGTTTGTCTGGCTAAATGTCTGTCATTTTGTTTGACTTTTCAAAAGACAACATTTTTGTTCATCTTTTGTATTGTATTAATTATTTCAATTTTAATTATTTCTGCTCTGATCTTTGTTTTCTCTTTCACTAATTTGGGATTTGGTTTGTTCCTGCTTTTCTAGTTCTTTAAGATCTATCATTAAATTTTTTATTAAAAGTTTTCCTTCTCTTTTCTTACAGTCACTTACAGCTATAAGCTTCCCTCTTAGCACTGCTTCTGTTGTATCCCATAGGTTTTGGTATGTTGTGTTTCCATTATTATTTGTCTCAAGAAATTTTTCAATATTCTTCACAATTTCTTTTTTGACCCACTGTCATTCCGGAGCATATTGTTCATTTTCCACGTATTTGTATAGTTTTCAAAATTCTACTTGTTTTATTCCATTGTGGTCAGAGAAGATGCTTAACATTATCTCAACTCTTCTGAATGTTTTAAGACTTGTTTTGTGACTTAACATATGGCCTATCCTTGAGAATGATCCATGTGCTGAGCAAACGAATGTGTATTCTGCAGCCAATGGATAAAATGTTCTGCAAATATGTGTTAGGTCCTCTTGGTCTACAGTGCAAATTGAGTCTGATTTTTTGGTTGATTTCTGTATGGAAGATCTGTCTAATAATGAAAGTGGGGTGTCGAAATCCCTATTATTGTAGTATTGTCTGTCTCTCTCTTTTGGTCTAATAACGTTTGCTGTATATATCTGGGTGCTCCAGTGTTGGGTGCATATGTATTTAAAATTGTTACATCCTCTTGCTGAATTGGTCTTTTATCATAATACAGTGAACTTCTTTGTCTTTTATAGTTTTTATTTTGAAGTTCTTTGAAATTTAGGGTATTTTTATTTTATTTGAAATGTCCTAAAGATATCATGTAGAAAAAGAAAAGTAGCAGGATTATTTTAATTTTGTCACATAATAGTGCTTGGTTCTTTTTAATTGCATAGGGTAATACATTTTAACAGATGACTATCTTGTCATCTTTTTAATCACTGTAATTAGACAATGCCTTTTTAATATATCTGACATATATCTGGAACTGTCATCTTTTGCTTGGTGATTTAGTTGATTTTACACTTAGAAATGTGACTCATATTTTATTAGAAGATAATATAAAGCCTCATTTTTGTATCTTATTAAAAATTCTTTCAGTTTTACTGTTTTAATTATCCAAAGTCTCAAGATGTGAGTGAGAACATATTTTATAGCAGTCTCAGTTAATTGTATTAATAGATAAGAGTAAATAGTTCAAATGTTTTCTACCTCTTGTTAAAAACACTTTATCAGTAAATTTATAATGCACTTTCTTTCAAAGTCTCAAATTATAATTCATTCATCAAAAATGCAGTTCACAAAAAAGTCAGATAATTTGCCACAAATGACAACGAGTGGTTTACGATATGTCCATCATATTCTGTATAATTAGTTGCTTTCAAAGGATAATAAAATTATAGTAGGACCATAAGTAAGATGAATAAAAGAACAAAGTCAATATGGCAAAGATTTGTCTTTCCTGTCTCCCAGGAAGTGAAGCATAAAATCTCAGGAAATCTGAATAGGAGAAAATCTACATTTAAAGCCATGCATGGATAAAATTTCAGAGCCTCCTTATACTTATTAAAAGTGGAAAAAGTCCTCCTTCTTTCCCTGAAAATGTGTGCCGTCTGATCACATTAAGGATATAATTTGGATGTCTGTCCCCTCAATATCTCATGTTGAAATGTGCTTCCTAGTGTTGGAGGTGGGGCTTGGTGAGAGGTGTTTTGGTCATGGGGGCCGATTCCTCATGAATAGCTTGGTGCCCTTCCTATGGTAATCAGTTCATATGAGACCTGGTTGTTAGAGTCTGGGACCTCCTCCCTCACTTGTTTTCTCTCTCACTCATGTGGCATGCCTGCTCCCCTTCCCCTTTCAGCGTGATTGGAAGCTTCCTGAGGCCTCACCAGAAGCAGATGCTGGCACTATGCTTCTTGTACAGCCTGCATAACTGTGAGCCAAAATAAACCTCTTTCCTTTATAAATTACTCAGCTTCAGGTTTTCCTTTATAGTAACACAAAATGAACTAATACAAGGACAGATTGAATTTAGAATGAACCTGAGACCTGGACTGTAGATTTTGAATAGTTCGTTTTCCTTCAGCTGACAGTTCCAAGGCCCTGAATGTGAAAAGGGGAATGTATTCTATGCCCTTTCACTAACCTCGGGCGCAAACAAAGTCAGGGCATAAACTTTGCAAATTGTTTAAACAACAGAAGTCTTACTTATTTAAAAAATGTAAATTGACGGTTTAAAATTCTATATGTTTATAGTGTCTAAAGTGATGTTATAATTTATTAAGACAATGTGGAAAATTAAATCAAGCTAATTAACATGTTCATCACCTCAAATATTTTCATTTTTATGGTGAGAGCATGTTAAATTTACTCAGTAATTTTGAATTTTACAATGCATTATTAACCATATTTACTACAGTGTGCAATAAATCTCATTGTAAAAAAACCTTATTCCCCCAATCTAACTGAGATTTTGTGCCCTTTGACTGTCATCTTTCCTTTCCCCATGTACCCCAGCTTCTATAGCCATGGTCCTACCATCTGTTTCTATGAGTTTAATTGTTCTAGATTCTACATTTTGTGAGAACATAAAGTATTTGTCTTTCGTGCCTGGCTTATTTCACTTAGCACGATGTCCTCCAGGTTCATCCGTATTGTTATAAATGACAGAGTTTCCTTGTATTTTAAGGCTGAATAGTACTCCATTTTTTATGTACACCACATTTTCTTTATCCATTTGTCTGTTGATAGACACTTAGGTTGATTTCATAACTTGACTATGGTGAATAGTTCTGTAATGAACATGGGAGGGATTTCAAATCTTTTAGGTAAATGCTGAAATAGATAGTAATTTTATTTTTAGTTTTGTATGTATGGACATTTAAACCTCCATTCTATTTTCTGTAATTGTTGTACTGATCTACATTCCTACCAACAGTCTAACCTGTTCCTTTTCTTCCCATCCTTCCTAACACTTGCTCTCATAATTTTTGTAGTGATCAGGAAAATAGAGAAGTTTGAAATGTGAGTTTCCCATTAGAATTACATTCTATTCATGGTAGAACTTCTCCAATTTATTTTCCATCTCCTTCCTCCTACTTCATGTCTACAATGACATAGATGCCTTGAATTATAAACATTCTAGTAACAGGATAGAACTGTGAACTAAACCGTATATCCAATTCACTTGCCAAAGAAGTGATAGTCTGCGCCATGGTTTTGGAAATTAGTTCTCATTCATGAATTCCAAAGTTTCCTAATAATCTTTTTTTTTTTTTTTTGAGATGGAGTCTTGCTCCGTCGCCCAGGCTGGAGTGCAGTGGCGCGATCTCAGCTCACTGCAAGCTCCGCCTCCTGTGTTCATGCCATTCTCCTGCCTCAGCCTCCCGAGTAGCTGGGACTACAGGCGCCTGCCACCACGCCCGGCTAATTTTTTGTATTTTTAGTAGAGACAGGGTTTCACCGTGTTAGCAAGGATGGTCTCGATCTCCTGACTTCGTGATCTGCCCACCTCAGCCTCCCAAAGTGCTGGGATTACAGGTGTGATCCCAGCCCCTAATAACTGCACCCAGCCCCTAATAACCTTTTTTAATCTTAGTGAAGTTGTATGTTTCATACACAAATTTTGTCACATGGCCTATGATAACAGAGTTATAAATTAAGTATATGCAAAGTTATGCATTGTGTAGAAATAAAATAATAATGCAATATTCATTTATAGTGATTTTGACTCCTCAAAATATTTATTATATATAATATTGATTTTGTAACTATAACATTAATATTCTATTGGTGCAACTTGTTAATTAATAAATATAAATAAAGTAATGTAAAAAATATACACACACACAAGCACATGTGTACACACACACGAGGGGTAAATGGCTAAGTACTTTAATTTTACTTAGACGTGCTCATCCCTGTAATCCTAGCACTTTGGGAGACTGAGGCAGGAGGATCACTTGAGCTCAGGAGTTTGAGACCAGCCTGGGTAACATAGTGAGACCTCATCTCTACTTAAAAAAATAACTGATAATAAATAAATAAAATAAGAATAAAGAATTACATGATTGAGTTGTATCTTGGATGGTGAGAAATAAATGATTCAGATTTAAGCTATAGGCCAGGTGCAGTGGCTCATGCCTGTAATCCCAGCACTTTGGGAGGCCGAGGCAGGTGGATCACCTGAGGTCAGGTGTTCAAGACCAGCCTGGCCAACATGGTGAAACCCCATCTCTACTAAAAATACAAAATTACCTGAGTATGGCAGCACATGCTTGTAATCCCAGCTACTCAGAAGGCCGAGGCCAGAGAATCACTTGAACCCAGGAGGCAGAGGTTGCAGTGAGCCAAGCTTGCACCACTGCACTCCAGCCTGGGTGACAAAGAGAGACTCTGTCTCAAAAATAAAATAAAATAAAGATTTAATCTATATTTGTAGTTTAGAAACTAATGATTCCAGATCATAGAGATGTTGAAATTGGTTATTATTGAGAACATGGCAGAAATTATGCTATTCTCATTAGATCTCTTGCTTTTCTCCACAGATATCCTTTGCTTTAATTTTCCTTCTAAGATGATCAAACTTCCTGGTTTTATTACCATATAAATCTTCTTTTATCCACAAGCCAGCTTTGGAATTTCAGCAAACACCATCCTTCTTCTTTTCCACATCTTCACCTTTGTTTTCAGTCACAGGTCTAAGTCCATTGACATGATAATTAGTCACCTGTCTCTCATCCACATACTGCTGCTCTTCACCCAGGCAATATTGGTGTCCTTAGACTTCTTTGGTTCACAGAATACTCAGGATGATCTTAGGTATAAGGTCATTGTCTTTTTAAACAAGGTGATGAGGGGCCTCTCCATCTGCACCCCCTGCCTCCTGAGTGTGCTCCAGGCCATCATCAGCCCCAGCATCTTCTCCTTGGCAAAGCTCAAACATCCTTCTGCAAGTCACATCTTAGGATTCTTCCTTTTCTCATGGGTCCTCAACATGTTCATTGGTGTAATCTTCTGCTGTACACTGCGGCTACCCCCAGTGAAACGGGGCCAGTCTTCTGTTTGTCATACAGCACTGTTCCTTTTTGCCCATGAGCTACACCCACAGGAGACTGTTTTTCACACTAATGACTTTGAGGGATGTCACCTTTATAGGGTTCATGGTCCTCTCAAGAGGCTACATGGTGATTATTTTATACAGACAATAAGAGGCTATCTCAGTGCCTTCACACAGCCAGCCTGTCCCCGAGTCTCACCAGTGAAAAGAGCCTCCCAGGCTATCTTACTGCTGGTGAGTTTTGTCTTCACATACTGGGTGGACTTTACGTTCTCATTTTCAGGAGGTGTGACATGGATAAATGATTCTCTGCTAGTGTGGCTCCAGGTTATTGTGGCCAATAGCTATGCCGCAATTAGTCCTTTGATGCTAATTTATGCTGATAACCAAATATTCAAGACTCTGCAAATGTTATGGTTTAAATATTTGTCTCCTCCAAAGCTCATGTTGAAATTTAATCGCCAATGTGGCAGTACTAAGAAGTGATGAGAGGTTAATCCATTCATGAACTCATGAATTAATGGGTTGTCATGAGAATGGGACTGGTGGCTTTAGAAGACGAGGAAGAGAGACCACTCAGCCTCCTTGCCATATGATGCCGTCTGCTGCCTCAGGACACTACAGAATTCCCACCAGCAAGAAGGCTCTGATCATCTGGTGAGATATTGGACCTTCCATAACTGTAATAAGCAAATTCCTTTTCATTAGAAATTGCCCAGTTTCAGGCATTGTGTTATAAGCAACAGTAAATGGACTAAGATCTTCTTACTAAGTTGTCAGAAAATAAGAATAAATGTTTAAAAAGAAGTGATGAAAATTAAGACTTAAAAATGAAATTGGCCATCACCTAGGGTTTTTAAATGTCACGATATTTTGTCTCTGTGTAAATTTTTAACGGGTATTATTAATCTCTGTTGCATCTGATTTAGGAACTTTTATAATACGGCAGAAAAGCACTTGTAGATATTTGATCACATTTTATACATCAATCATATATGTCTATAGGCTTTTTTTTTTTTTCTTTGAGATGGAGTTTCGCTCTTGTTGCCCAGGCTGGAGTGCAATGGCATGATTTTGCCTCACTGCAACCTCTGCCTTCAAGCGGAGGATCTGTTGGTTTTGAGTTATATTTACCCAGCAGTCAAGGAAAACCTAAACAAAGACATTAATTTGAAAATGCCCCAGCTGTAGGGCATGGGGCTTTTGGAAGAAGCAAATACAAATTTTATTTTTTTTTGAGATAGGGGTCTCTCTATGTTGCCCAGGTTAGTATTAAACTCCTGAGCTCAAGCAATCTTTTCACCTTAGCCTCCAAGGAGGTCCAGGTTCAAGCGATTTTCCTGCCTCAGCCTCTGGAGTAGCTGGAATTACAGGCACCTGCCACCATGCCCAGCTAATTTTTTGTATTTTTAGTAGAGACGAGGTTTCATCATGTTGGACAGGCTGGTCTCGAACTCCTGATCTCAGGTGATCCACCCGCCTTGGCCTCCCAAAGTGCAGGGCTTATAGGCGTGAGCCACCACGCCTGGCCTTCCATAGGCTTTTTATTTCTTGTGTTCTATTCTTTTTTTTCTCATCTCAGGCCAGATTTCTGGAATCATTTTCTTTTTTTCCTGAATTATATTATTTGAAAATTGTTTTATTGAAGATCAGTTTAGGCGAACTGTTGCCATATGATCTGAAATGTCTTTCATTCTCCTTTTTGTAAAAGTTAAAGTACACAGTTTTATGTTGACAATCTCACATCACACTTTCAAACAAATATTTCCCTGAGTCCCAACTTCCATTTTTGATTTTGAAAATTACAGACATTTACAATATTGTTTGTGTGTGTGTGCGTGTGTGTGTGTAACTTAAAGTTCCCTCTCCTCCTAGCTAACTTTAACTTTTATCGATTTATGGCTGATATTCCTATGACACTCTGGTGCATCTGTCTACAGATATTTCTATTTTTTATATTACACTTATTTAATATTCTTCATTAATCTTCATTAATTCATTAATTTAATTAATTGGACCTTTTTGTTTTACTCCTTATATCGCGTAACTTCTTTTATATACTTTACATTGCTTTGTTTTCGAGTTCACATTCTAGGAAACTTATTCAGCCAAATAGCTTGGTTTTACTAAAAGTTTTTTTCAATTCTGTATCAACTGCAATCTAACCATTTCATTGATTCTGGGTACACAATTTTAAAAAAAACTTTGTTTGCAGTTGTTCTATTTAGTCACTTTTCAAATATGCCACATCATGCTTCTAGTCTCCTACTATTTACTCTTTAAAAATTTAAATTCATTTTTGTTTTCTCTTAATCTGATATTCATATCTCATATCACAAGGTATAATTCTGATAATTTCTGGTTTGGTAATTATTAATTCTGCTGGCTTGTTTGCTGCCTACTTTGTAATTTAATTGTCATAAGTGACATCATTTTGTTCCTTGAGAAGGCTGAGGGTCTCAGTGATAGATGACTGGAAAGAAAATTTGGAAGCTTGACACAGTGGCACACATTTGTAATTCTAGAAACTCAGGAGGCTAAGGTGAGAAGATCGCTTGAGCCCAGGAGTTTAATACTAGCCTGGGCAACATGGAGAGACCCCTATCTCAAAAAAAAAAAAAAAAAAAAAGAGAAAGAAAATTTGTATTTGCTTCTTCCAAAAGCCCCATGCCCTACAGCTGGGGCATTTTCAAATTAATGTCTTGGTTTAGGTTTTCCTTGACTATTTATGCCAGATAAATATAACTCAAAACCAACAGGTCCTTTATTCCCCTCAGAGTTTAAGTATCAAGGTAGAAATAGTTCCATTGTGTAATCTGGCTTACCAACTTCTCTTTTGACTCAAAGTATAAAACCTTGAAAGTATTAGCATTGTGTAGGTGTCCCAGTTTCATTCAATGGGTTAAATACATTGATGTTATTTTCCCTTTACCTACACAATTGACATAAATCAACATTTCACATTGGTAGTACCAGCCAATCCCTTCAGAGGAGCCCGGGCGTCCCTGTTTGATTTCAACCAAGCTTAAGAATTATCTTTATTTTATTCCCATGGGGATTCCCTCTATTATCTTGTAGGTTCAGCTAGACATTTAAATATATATTAATTTATACACCATTTATAAACTAAAGAGTTTCTGCAAAGCAAAAGAAACTATCAACAGAATAAACAGACTATCTACAGAATCAGAGAAAACAATTACCAACTGTGCATCTGGCAAAGTTCCAGAATCTATAAGGATTAGTCCATAATATCCAGAATCTATAAGGAACAAATCAATAAACCAAAAACAAACAGCTCCATTAAAAATGGGCAAAGGACATAAATGCTTCTGAAAATAAGACATTCGATAAGCCAAAAACATAAAAATGCTCATCACTACTTATCAGCAAAATGTAAATTAAAACCACAAACTATCTGACCCTAGTCAGAAGGGCTATTATTAAAAAGTCAAAAAATAACAGTTGCTGGAGAGTTTGCAGAGAAAAGGGGGTGCCTGCACACCATTGGTAGAAATGTAAGTTCATTCAGCCACTGTGGAAAGCAGTCTGGAAATTTCTCGAAGAACTTAAAACAGAACTACTATTCAACCCAGCAATCCCACTACTAGGTATACAATCAAAGGAAAATATACCATTCTATAGAGAAGACACATGCACTTGTATGCTCATCACCACACTATGCACAATAGCAAAGACATGGAATGAACCTAAGTGTCCATCAGTGGTGGACTGGATCAAGAAAATATTGTACATGTACACCATCGAATACTATGCAAACAAAAAAGAGTAAAATTATGCCCCTTGCAGTAACATAGATGCAGCTGGAGGCCATCATCTTCAATGAATTAACTCAGAATCAGAAAACAAATACTGGCCAGGCGCAGAGACTCACGTCTGTAATCTCAGCACTTTGGGAGGCCAAGGGGGGCAGATCACATGAGGTCAGGAGCTCAAGGCCAGCCTAGCCAACATGGTGAAACCCCACCCATCTTTACTAAAAATACTAAAAATTAGCTGGACATGGTGACGGGCACCTGTAATCCCAGCTACTCGGGAGGCTGAGGCAGGAGAATTGCTTGAACCTGGGAGGCAGAGGTAGCAGTGAGCTGAGATCCTCCATTGCACTCCAGCCTGGGCAACAAGAGCAAAACTCTGTCTCAAAAATAACATAAAATAAAAATAAAATAAAATATAAAAATAAATAAACCTATTTGTCATTTGTGTGTCTTCTGCAAAATATCTGTTCAAGTAATTTTCTTCTTTTTTAATTGGGTTCTTTGTTTTCTTGCTGTCGAGTTGTTTGAATTTTTTTTTTTTTTGAGATGGAGTCTCACTCTGTTGCCCAGGCTGGAGTGCAGTGGTGCAATCTTGGCTCACTGCAACCTCCGCTTCCCAGGTTCAAACGACTCTTGTGCCTCAGCCTCCCAAGTAGCTGGGATTACAGGTGTGCACCACCACACCACACTAATTTTTGTATTTTTAGTGGAGAGGGGGTTTCACCATGTTGTCCAGGCTGGTCTTGAACTCCTGACTTCAGGTGATCCACCCACCTTGGCCTCCCAAAGTGCTGGGATTACAGGCGTGAGCCACTGCACCAACCAAGTTGTTTGAATTCCTTACATATTTTGGATATTAGCCACCTATCTGATGTATGGTTCATAAATATTTTCTATCACTCTGTGGATTATGTCTTCACTTTGTTAATGGTTTCATTTGCTGTACAGAAGCTTTTTAGTTTGATGCAATCTCATTTGTCTATTTTTGCCTTTGTTGTCGTGCTTTTGGGGTTATACAAAAAAAAATTACCAAGTCTAGTGTTATGGGCCTTTTCCCCATGTTTTCTTATAGTGGTGTTTAAAATTTCAGGAAACTCTTAACATTTTTAAACATTGCCTATTTGATACTTATTTTCTCCCCACATCATTTCTGTGTAAAAAATTTTTTCTCTGTTTTTTTTTGACTAGTTTATTTTGTAGTTATACATCTTTTTCTACAAAAAACGTTTGGAATTTTTAATGATTTCTGATTTTTTCTGTGTCTAACTCATTGATTTCTTATTTTTAAATTAACACCTATGTTTTTATTCATTTATAGTCCTCATTGTTGAGTTGAGGTAGTAATGCGTTTAGTTGCATTATTTATATAGATTTAAATATTGTAAATATACATTTAATAACTGGACTTTCAGCTGTCTGAAAAATGCTGGGGGATAATTGGGTATGGATATTTCTAAGTATTGTGTATTGTCACCTTTTTGTGTTGTAATGCATCTTTCTCACTTTGTTTGCTGTTTGTCATGTTACTGTGTTAGATACTAAAAGATAAATTTTTACTTACTTTCTTTCTGTTTTTTTTTTTTAGAGATGAGGTCTCACGCTGTCACCCAGGCTGGGGTACAGTGGTGTGATCATAGCTCACTGCAGCCTTGAACTCCTGGGCTCAAGCAATTCTCCTGCCTTAGCCTCCATAGTAGCTAGAAGTGCAGATACCTCTTTGATATACTGATTTCCTTTCTTTTCAATATATACACAGCAGTGGGATTTCTGGATCATAGAATAGCTCCACTTTTAGTTTTCTGAGGAACATCCAAACTGCTGTCCATAGTGGTTGTACTAATAATTTACATTCTCACCAACAGTGTATGAGGGGTTCTCTTTTTTCCACAACCTCATCAGCATTTGTTATAGCCTGTGTTTTAAATATAAGCAATTTTGGCTAGGTGCAGTGGCTCACACCTGTAATCCCAGCACTTTAGGAGGCCGAGGTGGGCGGATCACAAGGTCAGGAGTTCGAGACCAGCCTGACCAATATGGTGAAACACTCTCTCCACTAAAAATACAAAAATTGGCCAGCCGTGGTGGCGGGCACCTTTAGTCCCAGCTACTCAGGAGGCTGAGGCAGGAGAATCGCTTGAACCTGGGAGGCAGAGGTTGCAGTGAGCTAAGATCATGCCACTGCACTCCAGCCTGGGCAACAGAGCAAGACTCTGTCTCAAAATATATATATAATTTTAACAGGGGTGAAAAAATATCTCATTGTAGTTTTGATTTGCATTTCTCTAATGATCAATGATGTTGACCACGTTTTTATATACCTGTTGGCCATTTGTCTGTCTTCCTTTAAGAAATGGTGATATGGTTTGGATCTGTGTCCCCACCCAAATTTCATGTGGAATTGTAATCCCCAATGTTGGAGGTGGGGCTTGGCAGGAGTTGATGGGATCATGGGGGCAGAGTTCTCATTAATAGGTTTGCACCATCAACTCGGTGCTATTCTCATGATAGTGAGTGAGTTATCATTAATCTGGTTGTTTAAAAGTGTGTAGCACCTCCCCCATCTCTGTTGCTCCTGCTCCAGCCGTGTAAGATGTGCCTGCTTCCCCTTTGTGCCTTCTGCCATGATTATAAGTTTCCTGAGGCCTCTCCAGAAGCAGAAGCCACTAGGCTTTCTATATATCATGCAGAACCATGAGCCAATTAAACCTCTTTTCTTTATAAATTACCCAGTCTCAGGTATTTTGTTATAGCAATGTGAGAACAGACTAATACACATGGCTATTCAAATACTTTGCCCATTTTTTAAATCAGATTTTGCATTTTTCCCTTTAGAGTTATTTGAGTTCCTTATATATGCTGGTTATTAACCCCTTGTCTTATGGGTAGGTTGCAAATATTTTCTCCCATCCTGTGATTCGTCTATTCACTTTGTTGATTGTTTTCATTACTGTGCAGACGCCTTTTAACTTGATGTGATACAACTTGTCCATTTTTGTTTTGGTTGCCTGTGTTTGTGGATATTACTCAAAAGTATTTTTGCCCAGACCAATGTCCTGCAAGTTCCCCAATGTTTTCTTATAGCAGTTTCTTAGTTTAAGGTCTTAGATTTAAGTCTTCAATCCATTTTGATTTGATTTTTACATGGCAAGAGATAGGCTCTAGTTTAATTCTTCTGCATATGAATATGCAGTTTTTCCCAGGACCATTGATTGAAGAGACTCTTTTCTCCAGTGTATGTTCCTGGCACCTTTGTTAAAAATGAGTTCACTGCAGGTGTGTGGATTCATTTCTGAGTTCTCTATTCTGTTCCACTGGTCTATGTGTCTGTTTTTATGCCAGTACCATGCTGTTCTGGTTATTACAGCTCTTTAGTATAATTTGAAGTCAGTTAATGTGATCCCTCCAGTTTTGTTCTTTTTTTTTAGGATAACTTTGGCTATCCTGGGTCTTTAATTGTTCTATGTAAGTTTTATGATTGATTTATCTATTTCTCTGAAGAATGTCATTGGTTTTTTGATAGAGATTGTATTGAATCTGTAGATTGCTTTGGGTCGCATGGACATTTTAACAACATTAATTCTTCTAATCCATGAACATGGACTATTTTTCCATTTTTATGGTGTCCACTTCAATTTCTTTCATCAGTGTTTTATAGTTTTTATTGTAAAGAATTTTACCTTTTTGGTTAATTCCAAGGTGTTTAATTTTATGTGTGGCTACTATAAATGGGATGACTTTCTTAATTTCTCTTTCAGAGTGTTCACTGTTGTCATATAGAAATGCTACTGATTTTTGTGTGTGGTTTTGTATTCTGCAACTTTACTTAATTTATCAGTTCTAACAGCTTTTGATGGAGTCTTTAGGTTTTTCTAAATATGAGATCATATTGTCTGCAAACAACACTAATTTGATTTTTTTCCTTCCAATTTGAATGCCCTTTATTTCTTTCTCTTGTCTGATTGCTCTAGCTAGGACTCCCAGTATTACGTTGAATAACAGTGATGAAAATGGGCATTCTTCTCATCTTCTAGATCTTAGAGGAAAAGCTTTCAGTTTTTTTCCCATTCAGTATGATACTAGCTGTAAGTCTGTCACATATGCCTTTTATTACGTTGGGGTATGTTCCTTCCTTACCCAGTTTTTTTAGTTTTTTTTTCATCAAGGGCTGTTGAATTTTATCATATGCTTTTTCAGCATTAATTGCAATGATATCATTTTTGTCCTTCATTCTGTTGATATGATGTATTATATTGAGTGAGTTGCATACGTTGAACCACCCTTACATCTCAGGGATAAATCCCACTTGGCCATGATGAATGATCTTTTTAATGTACTGTTGAATTCAGTGTGTTAGTATTTCATTGAGAATTTTTGCATCAATATTAATCAGAGACATTGGCCTGCAGTTTTTTAAATATGTCTTTGATTTT
Organism: Homo sapiens; assembly: GCF_000001405.40. Lineage (NCBI taxonomy): Eukaryota > Metazoa > Chordata > Mammalia > Primates > Hominidae > Homo > Homo sapiens. The sequence continues at coordinate 247,264,869 of NC_000001.11, forward strand.
GGTTTCAGGGTAATACTGGCCTTTAGAATGAATTTTAAAGCATTCCATTCTCCTCTACTTTTCAGAATAGTTTGAGTATGATCGGTATTCGTTCTTTTTAAATGTTTGGTAGAATTCAGCAGTGATGCCATTGGGTACTAGGCTTTTCTTCACTGGAAGTCATTATTTGGGTACCAGGCTTTTCTTCATTATTGGGTATCAGGCTTTTCTTCACTGGAAGTCATTATTTGTTTTTGGTCTGCACAGGTTTTGGATTTCTTCATGGTTCAATTTGGTAGGTTGTGTCAAGGAATCCATTTCTTCTAGATTTTCCAATTTATTGGTGTATAGTTGCTCATAATGGTTACTAATAATCCTTTGAATTTTCGAATTTCTGCAGTATAAGGTGTAATGTCTTCCTTTTTTATGTCTAATTTTATTTATTTGAGTCTTCCTTCTTTATTCCTTAGTCTGGTTGCAGGTATGTTAATTTTGTCTAACTTTTCGAAAAACCAACTTTTTGTTTATTGATCTTCTGTATTGGTTTTTTCATTTCAATTTCATTTATTTCTGCTCTGATCATTATTATTTCTTTTCTTCTACTAATTTTGTGTTTGGTTTGTACTTGCTTTTCTAGTTCTTTAACTAGATTATTTGAAGTTTTTCTTTTTTTCTGATGTAAGCACTTATTACTATTAGTGCTGTCTTTAATGTGTCCCATAGGTTTTCGTGTCTTCTATTTCCATTATAATTTGTTTCAGCAAATTTTTCAGTTTCCTTCTTTATTTCTTCATTGACCCACTGGTCATTAAGGAGCATATATTTAATTTCCATGTTTTCAAATAGTTTCCAAAATTCCTCTTATTTTATGTATTTATTTAGAGACAGAGTCTTGCTCTGTTGCCCAGGCTGGAGTCCAGTAGTATGAGCTTGGCTCACTGCAACATCTGCCTCCTGGGTTCAAGCAATTCTCCTGCCTCAGCCTCCCAGTGGCTGGGATTACAGGCTTGTGCCACCATGCCCGGCTAATTTTTGTATTTTTAGTAGAGACAGGGTTTCACCCTGTTGGCCAGTGTGGGAAAGAGTTTCTAGGGTGCCACTTGAGTTGGTCTCCCCTGTATGAGACACCCATGGGAAGCCATGGGTGGCCTCTGAGCAGAAAAGTCTCCTTATTGCCTTCATGTCTTTATACCCTGAGAGCATAACAGCTCAGCGGCATTCCACAGGTTGCTCAGGGAGATAACACTCCCTTGAAGCAGTGGAGTATAATCAAACATCTGGGCTTCTCCTGAACCCCACTCCCACCCATTTCAGTCCCAATAAGTTTAAGATCTTAAGTAGTTTAGACACATGCCTTTGCTCAAGGAAAATTCACAGAAACTGCCACTGCTATACATCTTATCGAATGACTCATGAATTCTCCTTCACTGATTAATCCTTTTCCTCATCCCTTTCTCTCCCTCCCATCTGCCCTAAGAGTAAAGAGCTTGTAAACCAATAAATTGGGCAGAGCCTGAGAGCTCTGGGCCCTGAGCAAACCTCCGATGCTCCGGCTCCCTGGACCCGCCTTTTAAATGCTTATTCTGTCTCTTTCTAACTCCTTTGTGTCTGCCGGAATTGGGGTGCCCACTGGGTGGTGTGGGGATGGTTTCCAGAACAGGCCAGGCTGGTCACAAACTCCTGACCTCAAGTGATCTGCCTGCTTCGGCCTCCCAAAGTGCTGGGAATACAGGCGTGAGCCACCATGCCCAGTCCTTCTTGCTATTGATTTCTAGTTTTATTCCACTGTGGTCACAGAAAATGATTGATATTACTTCAATTTTTTGAATATTTTAAGACTTGTTTTGTGATATAACATACAGTCTATCCTTGAGAATAATTAATATTGTGAGGAAAAGAGTGTGAATTCTGCAGCTGTTGGATGAAACGTTCTGTAAATACCTATTAGGTCCATTTGGTCTATATTGTAGATTAAGTTCAATGTTTCTTTTATATATATATATATATATACACACACACACATATATATACACACACATATATACATATATATACACACACATATATACATATATATACACACACATATATATACATATATATACACACACACACATATATATATGTATTTTAAATTTATAGAGATAGGGTCTCACTGTGTTGCCCAGGCTGGTCTCAAGTTCCTGGGCTCAAATGATCCTCCTGCCTTGGCCTTCCTACGTGCAGGGATTACAGGTGTAAGCCACCATGTCAAGCCTAAGTTTTATGTTTCTTTGTTGATTTTCTATCTGGAAGATCTATTCAATGCTGAAAGTGGGATGTTAAAGTCTCTAGTCATTATTGTATTGGGGTCTATCTCTCTCTTTAATTCTAATAATATTTGCTTTATGTATCTGGGTCCTCAAGTATTAGGTGTATATATATTTAACATTGTTATATTCTCTTGCTGAATTGACCCCTTTATCATTATATAGTGGCTTTCTTTCTCTTTGTATAGTTTTTCTTTAGAAATCTCTTTTGGCTGATATAAATATGGCTACTCTTGCTGTTTTTGGTCTTCATTGGCAAGGAATATCTTTTTCATCCCTTTATTTTTAGTTTACGTGTGTCTTTACAGGTTGTAGGCAACAGATCGTTGGGTCTTGTTTTTGTGTCCATTCAGAGTCAGTCTATGTCTTTGAATTAGAAGGTCTAGTCCATTTAAATTTGATGTTATTATTGTTAAGTAAGGACTTACTCCTGCTATTTTGTTATTTGTTTTCTGGTTGATTTGTGGGCTTCTCTTCTTCTCTTCCTTCTTTCTTTTTCTTTCTGTCTTCCTTTTAGTTATGGTGGTTTTCTCTGGTGATAAAATTTAGTTTCTTGCTTTTTATTTTTGGTGTGTTCGTTGTATGTTTTTTGGTGTGAGGTTACCATAAGGCTTGCAAATACTATCTTATAACTCATTATTTTCAGCCGATAACAGCACTGTTTGCACAAAGAAACAAGCAAAAGGAAAAGAATAAAAAAGAATGAGACACATCTATAAGATCTAGAAAATAGCCTCAAAAGGGCAAATCTGAGAATTGTTGGCTATAAAGAGGTAGAGAAAGATAGAGGTAGAAAGATCATACAGAAAAACAACACAGAACTCCCCAAACCTAGAGAAACATACCAATATCCAACTAAAGAAGGTTACACATTAGAACATCAAGCAGATTTAACCCAAAGAAGACTACCTCAAGGCATTTAATAATCAAACTCCCAAAAGTCAACAATAAAGAAAGGATCCTAAAAGAAGCGAGAGAAAAGAAACAACACACAATAGAGCTTCAATATGTCTGGCAGCAGACTTTTTAGTGGAAACCTTATAAGCCAGAAGAGAATGGCATGATATATTTAACATGCTGAAGAAGGAAAAAAAAAAAAAACCTTTTATCCTAGAGTAGTATATCTGGCAAAAATACTCTTCAAATTCTCTGTCTGAATTTTGAATTCTCTGTCTGAAAGGCCACATATCTCTGTTTCTCCAGGATTGATCTCTGTTGCCTTATTTAATTCATTTGGTGAGGTCATGTTTTCCTGGATGATCTTGATACTTGTAAATGTCTGTCTGTGCCCAGGCATTGAATAATTAGGTATTTATTGTAGTCTTTATAGTCTGGGCTTGTTTGTTCCCATTCTTCTTGGGAAGGCTTTTCAGATATTCAAAAGGACTTGGGTGTTATGATCTAAGTTGTATCTGCTTTAGGGGGCACCCTAAGCCCACTAATGCTGTGGTTCTTGCAGACTCATGGAAGTACTGCCTTGATGGTCTTCCACAAGATCTGGAAGAATTCTCTGATTTACAAGGCAAAGAGTCTTGTTTTCTCTTCTTACTTTCTTCTAAACAGTCTCTCTTTCTTTCTGTTTTGAGCCACCTGGAGCTGGCAGTGGGGTGACACAAGTACTCCTATGGCCACCGCTTCTAGAGCTGTGCTGGGTCAGTCCCAAAACAAGCACAGAACTGGGTCTCACCCAAGGCCTCCTGTAACCCCTTTCTTGCTACAGCCTTTGTTTGCTCAAAGCTCTGGGGCTCCACAATCAGCATGTGGCAAAGTCAGCCAAGCCTATGTTTGTTCCTTCAGCGTGGTGAGCTCCCCCAGGCCAGGGACATGTCCAGAGGTGCTATCTGGGAGGCAAGGACTAATGTCAAAAACCTTAGAAGACTACCTAGTGTAATACTGTTCTGCAGCTGAACTAGCGCTCCAGCCACAAGATGTAGTTCCCATTCTTCCTCCCTTTTCCAAAGGCAGAGGACCCTCACCCCATGGCCACCAGCACAGGCCCATGGGCAGTATTACAACACTGCTGCTGATGTCCCCTGAAGGCCCAAGGGCTCTCCATCCAGCTTGTGGCAAATTTTGCCTGACCTAGACTCACCCTTCAGGGCAGCAGGCTCCCCTGTGGTCCAGGGCACATCCAGAAATGCCATCTGTGTTAATTTATTCTTACATTGCAAAACATAATCATGCCTTCCCAACAGTGCCCCAAAGTCTAAACTCATCCCAGAATTAACTCAAAAGTCCAAAGTCCAAATTCTCATCTATGACAAAGCAAGTCTCTTCCACCTATGAACTTGTAAAATAAAAAACAAGTTAGTTACTCCCAAGATACAATGGGGGCATAGGCATTGGGTAAATACTCCTGTTCCAAAAGGGAGACATTGGCCAAAAGAAAGGGGCTCCTAGCCCCATGCAAGTTTGAAACCCAGCAGGGCAGTCATAAATCTTAAAGCTCCAAAATAATTTCTTTTGACTTTATGTCTCAAATCCGTAGCACACTGGTGCAAGGGATGGGCTCCCAAGACCCTGGGCAGCTCCACCCCTGTGACTTTGCAGGGTTTGCCCCCAGTGGCTGATCTCACAAACTGGTGTTGATTGCCTGCACCATTTCCAGACACAGGGAGTAAGCTGCCAGTGGATCTACCATTCCAGGGTCTAGAGGGTGGTGGCTCCCTTCTTACAGCTCCACTAGGCAGTGACCCAGAGGGGACTCTGTGTGGGGGCTACACATTTCCCCTCCACACTGCCCTAGTAGAGGTTCCCCATGTGGGATCTGCCTCTGCAGCAGGCTTCCACCTGAATACCCAGGCTTTCCCACATATCCTCTGAAATCCAGGTGGAGGCTCCCAGGCCTCAACTCTTGTACTCTGTGCACCCACAGGCTTGACACCACGTGGAAGCCACCAGGCTTACAGCTTGCACCCTCTGAAGCAGTGGCCTGAACTGTGCCTGGGCCTTTTTGAGCCAAGGCTGGAACTGGAATGGGTGGGATGCAGGGAGTTGTGTCCCAAGGCTGTGCAGGGTGAGCCCTGGTCATGTTACATAAAACCATTTTTCCCTCCTAAGCCTTTGGGCCTGTGATGGGAGGGGCTCTTGCCAAGGTCTCTGAAATGCCTTTGAGGCCTTTTCCCTATTGTCTTAGCTATCAGCACTTGACTCATTTCTACTTATGCAAATTTCTACAGCATGCTTGAATTCCTCCCCTGAAAATGGACTTTTCTTATTTCTTCTTTAAAAAAAAAAAAAAAAGGAATACACGTGCAGAATGTGCAGGTTTGTTACATAGGTATACGTGTGCCATGGTGGTTTGCTACACCTATTGACCCATCTTCTAAGTTCCCTCCCCTCACCCCACAGACCCCAGCAGGCCCTGGTGTGTGTTGTTCCCCTCTTTGTGTCCATGTGTTCTCATTGTTCAACTCCCACTTATGAGTGAGAACATGCAGTGTTTGGTTTTCTCTTCCTGTGTGTCAGTTTGCTGGGGATGATGGCTTCCAGCTTCATCCATGTCTCTGCAAAGGATATTATCTCATTCCTTTTCATGGCAGCATAGTATTCTATGGTGCATATGTACCACATTTTCTTTATCCAGTCTATCCTTGATGGGCATTTGGGTTTGATCCATGTCTTTGCTATTGTAAATAGTGCTGTAATAAACATACATGTGCATGTGTCTTTATAGTACAGTGATTTATATTCCTTTGGGTATATACCCAGTAATGGGATTGCTGGGTCAAATGGTATTTCTGGTTCTACATCCTTGAGGAATCACCATACTGTTTTTCACAATGGTTGAACTAATTTACAGTCCCAACAATGTAAAAGCGTTCCTATTTCTCCACATCCTCTACAACATCTGTTGTTTCCTGACTTTTTAAAAATCGCCTTTCTAATATGAGATGGTATCTCATTATGGTTTTGATTTGCATTTCTCTGATGATCAGTGATGTTGACCTTTTCTTGTTTTTTGGCCACATAAATTTCTTCTTTTGAAAAGTGTCTGTTCATATGTTTTGCCCACTTTTTGATGGGGTTGTTTGTTTTTTTCTTGTAGATTTAAGTTCCTTGTAAATTCTGGATATTAACCCTTTGTCAGGTGGGTAGATTGCAAAAATTTTCTCCCATTCTATAGGTTGCCTGTTTACTCTGATGCTAGTTTCTTTTGCTGTGCAGAAGCTGTTTAATTAGATCCCATTTGTAAATTTTGGCTTTTGTTGCAACTGTTTTTGGTGTTTTAGTCATGAAGTCTTTGCCCATGCCTATGTCCTGAATGGTATTGCCTAGGTTTTCTTCTAGGGTTTTTCTGGTTTTGGGTTTTACATTTAAGTCTTTAATCCATCTTGAGTTAATTTTTATATAAGGTGTAAAGAAGGGGTCCAGTTTCAGTTTTCTGCATATGGCTAGCCAGTTTTTGGGCTTTTCTTTTCTACCACATGGCCATGCTGCAAATTTTCCAAACTGTTATGCTCTGCATCCCCTTTAAATATAAGTTCCAACTTTAGATCATTTCTTTGCTCATGCATATAAGCATAAGCTTTTGGAAGCAACCACTCTACTTCTTGAATGTTTTGTTGTTCAGAAATGTCTACCACCAGATACACTAAATCATCATTCTCAAGTTCAAAGCTCCACAAATTTCTAGGGCAGATACACAAAGCAGCCAAGTTCTTTGCTAAGGCATAACAAAAGTGACCTTTGCTCCATTTCTTAATAAGCTCCTCATTTCCATCTGACAGCCTGGACTTTCATGTCCCTATCACTATCAGCATTTTGGACACAACCATTTAACCAATCTGTAGGATATTCCAAACTTTCCATCATCTTCCTGTCTTCTTCTGAACCCTACAAACTCTTCCAACTTCTGCCTGTTACCCAGTTTCAAAGTCACTTCATATTTTCAGGTATCTTTATAGCAATGCCCCACTCCTCAGTACCAATTTTCTGTATTAGGCTGTTCTTGCATTGCCATAAACAAACATCTGAAACTGGTTAATGTATAGTAAAAAGAGGCTCAATTGGCTCAGGATTCCACAGGCTGTACAGGAAGCATGATGCTGGCAACTGCTTAGCTTCTGGGGAGGCCTCTGGAAACTTACAGTCATGGTGGAAGATGAAGGGGGAGCAGGCATGTCACATGGCCACAGCAGCAAGAGAAAGATGGGGGAGGGGCTACATGCTTTTAAATAACCAGATCTCATGAGAACTCACTCACTATTGTGATGACAGTACCAAGGGGGGATAGTGTTAAATTATTCATGAGAAACCACCCCCATGATCTAGTCACCTCTCACCAGGCCCCACCTCCAACTTTAGGAATTACAACTGAACATGAGATTTGGGTGAGGACACAGATCCAAGCCATATCACCATAAAAAACCCAAGTCCTTGAATTGAGGACCCCAAGAGCCTGCTTGGTGCTCTACTCCCCTGTTGCCAAGCTGGTACCTAAGGTGCAAAATAAAGTCCCCTTTACTTTTCCCTCTGCTTTTCTCAAGCAGAAGGAGTCTTGCCCCATAGCCGCACAGATGGTAATGTGCCGAGTCTCACCTAAAACCAGAACATCTCAGAGTCTCACCATGACTTACTGCCTGGGTATCATGCTCCTTATTCAGGGCCCAAGGGCTCTTCAGTTAGTGGGTGATGATTCCTGGCAGGCCTGTGTTCTTCCTTTCAAGGTACTGGGTTCCCTTCTGAACCCACGTGTGTCTAGAAATGTCCAGGAGCCAGGGCTTGGAAAAGGGGCCTCACAACTCTGACTGGTACCCTATTCTGCCGTGGTTGGGTTGGTATCCAAGGTAAAGACAAAGTCCTACCACTCTTCCCTTTCCTCTCCTCAAGTGGAAGTAAGTGTTCTCTTTTAGAACTACAAACTCTGCAGCCTGGGTGTGGGGAAGGGGTAATGCCAGCACTCCCTTAATCACTTTTAGAACTACAAACTCTGCAGCCTGGGTGTAGGGAGGAGTAATGCCAGCACTCCCTTAATTGCTCCAGCTGGTGTCTCAGTGGGTCATGTGCCCCCACAGCCCACTGGCTATGAGCCCAGTTCAGCACAGGAACTTGCCTAGGAGTTGCAGCCCTTGTAGCCTAGAATGCCTTTCAAGTTTATTTAGGGCCCTGGAGCACTTTAGCCTGTGGCAGTGAGGCTTGCAGGTTCTGACTGCTGGGATTGGCGATTTCCCTCTGGCTAGAGCTTGTTTATATGCTCCTTCCATTGATGGGCATCAGCTGAGTTTTGTTCCATTTTGTTTTCTGCTCTAACAGGGCAGCACTGAGTTCAATGCCTCACAGTTGTTGCACTTTGCCTCTCTCCAGTGCACAGAATCACTCTCCGCACCATGCCACAGCTGCTTGGGAATGGGGGAGGGATGGTGTTTGTGATTCAAGACTGTTTTTCCTACCTCTTCAATGCCTCTTTCAGCAATATGAAGTTAAAACCAGGTACTGTGAGTTCACAGTTGATTTTTAGTTCTTATAAAGGTGGTTTTTTTTGTAGATGTTAAATTGGTGTCCTCGCAGGAGAATGATTAGTGAAGCCTGTTCTGCCGTCTTGCTCTGCCCTTCCCTTAATTTTGCTTCATGCTTAATTTTTACTTATGTTTACTTATAGTTTTACTACACTTAAATGTGACTTATGCTTAATATTACTAAGCAGATTAGTTTAAAAACTCTATGTAGTCAAATATATTAATATTTTCCTTCATTGTTTCAGGATTTGAGACATAGTGAGAAAGTTTTCCATGCTCCCATTTATACAATGATTCATCTATGCATTTTATTCTGGCATTTTTTTTTTTAATTAGAATGGAATATATGGAAACTTTGCTATTTGCATGCATTTACTTTTATGGTTTATAATATGATTTAAGCTTTATTCTTATCCATATTACTATCTAGTTATTCCCACATGACTTGTCTTAATATGTCTTCCCCCATTGCTTTAGATATCACCATACATTTATTCGTTTTTCAAGTGGATCTATTTTCCTTTTTCTAGATTGGTTAATCTCTTTCACTGGAAAGTCTATTATTTTTAATAAGCTAATGGTTTACATTTATAACATTTTATAGAAGGTTTTTTCATTGATGTTAATAAATATGAATGATCTGCTGTTTTTTTTCTTTTGATACCATCTTTGTTAGTATTTGGTACCAACGTTCTATTTACTTCATAAAACATATTTGGAATTTGATTATATAAATGTATCCAATTATGACATCTACCCCAAAAATACACACATCTATTACATATCAATAAAAGGTAAAATTTTTTTTAAGTTTGCAAGTTTTCCTTTTTTTCTCAAAAAACCAATTTTATAATATTGATATTTTTAAACAATTAAGGATTTCTTTATGACTAATATTTACTCTATTTTAGAAGTATTTTGTGCTACATAAAAATAATTTTATTTTTGTTTAGTTTATACTTATTCATTTGAGATTAATAATCATGCCTTTGAAAATTTTTAGTGTCTAGGAAGTCTTATTTAGCTGAATATATCCATCAGTCCTTAGGGGTATAGGCTAAATTTCCTCCCATAGGCAAAAATGTGGATGATTGACATGGAGAAAAGCAGCTCATAACAGTCATCTAATAATAGTGACATGGAAGAGGACTCCTCCAAGGGAGCTGTGCAGTTGGCAGGCAAGCTTATGAGGATCACACTGAGAAGGGCTCAGCAGGCATGAAGGCCTGGAGTGCTTTTAGCACTGTTGCAATGGAAAGGAGGGGGTTGCTCTCAGATGTCTCATGGTTTCTTCAGCTAGTGGAAGTCCTCAGAGGAGAACAGAAGATGGTCCCCACATCGTAAGGTGTGTAGGCCAAGTAATTATATGCCTCCTTTATGTTTTCTTGTCAGTATGTTGAACTAGTGTGGTAACCTGGTTAATTATTGCCAACTCAGGATATAGGGAGGTTTAAACATCTTTGATTTACATAGAATCAGGGCAAGGATGAATCATGACTGAAAAAGTGTTGGGTCTAGCGTAAATATGCCTTGTGACTACGCAGACTTCATGTGAGAAAGTCTCTAAATAGGAGAGGTCACTGCAATAGGAATTGCCATGTTTCCTGTGAATGCCATAGGCTGCATATTGTTGGTTATGTAGACTAGCTAATGGCTCTCCCCTATAGGACCATAGCTAGCTAAATCCTACTGTTCTGCAGGGACGTGGTGGCCTCTGATGTAGGATGTCCATTATGGAGCTATTTCCATTCTATATGGGAGACTGAGGCGGGTGGATCACTTGAGGCCAGGACTTCGAGACCACCCTGGCCAACATGGTGAAACCCCATCTCTACTAAAAATACAAAAATTAGCCGGGCGCGGTGGCATGTGCCTGTAACCCCAGCTATTCAGGAAGCTGAGGCAAGAGAATCCCTTGAGCCTGGGGGGCAGAGGTTGCAGTGAGCTGAGATCATGCCACTGGATTCCAGCCTAGGTGACAGAGTGAGACTCCATCTCAAAAAAAAAAAAAAAAGCGAGTGGAATAGAATAGGAGACAAGTAGAGAGAATGTAATGGAATAGAATAGAAAGAATAGAATTGGGTTAAATTGAATTGAACAGAATGGTGTGAAGTGGAATAGAACAGAGTTGAATGAAATAGAATAGGAGTGGAGTGAAATGGAACAGAATGGAGTGGGATGGAATGGAGTAGGACAGGAGTGAAATAAAGCAGAATAGAGTTGACTAGACTGAAATATAATGGAATGGAGTGAAGTGGAATGTGGTGGAGTGGAGTAGAATAGAGTGGGAAGGAATGGAGTGCAGTGAAGTCGAGGGAGTGGAGTGGAAATGAATGGAATGGAATACAGTGGAAAGAAATGGAATAGATTAGAATGAAGTGGAATGGAATATATTAGAATCAATTAGAGTGTAATGGAATAGAGTAAGATAGAATGAAATAGAATTGAATAGGATGGAATGGAGTGGAATGGAATAGACAGAACGGAATGGAATGAAGGCAAGTGAAGTATAGTGAAAGACAATTGAATTGAACAGAATGATGTTGAGTAGAGTGGAATACAATGGAGCATAATGAAATAGAATGGAATGGAATAAGAATGGAGTGGAGTGGAATGGAATGTAATAGAGTAGAATAGAACAGAATGGAATGGAGTAAAATGAAATAGACTAGACTAGAATAAATTGAAATAAAATGGAGTGGTATAAAACAGAATATAATTGAACATAATAAACTAGAATGCAAAGGAGTGGAGTAGAATAGAGAGGAGTAGAATGGCATAGAATATAACAGAATGCAGTGGAAGGGAATTGAAAAGAATGAAATTGGCCAGGAACAGTGGTTCACGCCTGTAATCCCAGCACTTTGGGAGGCCGAGGTGGGCGGATCATGAGGTCAGCAGTTCGAGACCAGCCTGACCAACATGGTGAAACCCCGTCTCTACCAAAAATACAAAAATTAGCCAGGCGTGGTGGCACGTGCCTATAATCCCAGCTACTCGGGAGGCTGAGGCAGGAGAATCGCTTGAACCCGGGAGGCAGAGGTTTCAGTGAGCCGAGATCGCGCCACTGCACTCCAGCCTGGCAAAGATTGAGACTCCATCTCAAAAAAACAAAAAACAAACAAATAAAAAGAATGAAATTGAATAAAATAGAATAAATTGGAAAAAATGGGATGGATTGTAGTGAAACAGAATATAACTGAATAGAATATAATACAATGGAATGGAGTGGTGTGGAATAGTGAAGTAAAATGAAAAAGAATGGAAGAGAATAGAAAGAATAGAATAAAATGGGATGGAGTGAAATGAAGGGAGTGAAGTATAATGGAAGGGAGGGGAATAGAATAGAATGGAGTGGAGTGGAGTAAAATGAAATGAAATAGTATAGAATGAAATGGAATAGAATAAGCAAAATGAAATAGAGTGGAGTAGAATGGGGTAGGATAGAATAAGACAAAATGAAGTAGAGTGGTGTGTAATGGAATAGAACAGACTAGAATAGACCAGAATAGAACAGAACGGAGTGCAGTGGGATGGAAACAAATGAAGTAGAACGGAATAAGTGAAATGGAATGGAGAGGAGTTGAGTGAGCTGGAGTAGACTGAACTGAGAGGAGTGGAGGGCTGCATCTTGTAAGGGACCTTCTTTCTAGTGGAGACTCTGCAGAGTTCCAAGGTAGGCCAGGGCATCACATAGCAACGGGGTTGAGTGCGATAGCTCAGGTCTCTCTTCCTTTACTTATTAAGCTGCCAGCTCCATTCCTATGATAACCCATTAATCAGGTAATCCATGAATGAGTAACTCATTCATGAGAGCAGAGGCCTCATGGTACAATCACCTCCTAAAAAGGTCCCATTTCTCAACACTGCCACATTGGGAATTAGGTTTCAACATGAGTTTTTGTGGGGACAAGCCATATTCAAACCACAGCACTGGGACAGTACATTCTCCCTTTAATGTTGAAGGGATAGAGATTGCCTAGGACATACAGCAGAGAAATCCACCAAGAAGAAAATGGTTTTTTTGTTTGTTTTGAAACAGGTCTTGCTCTGTCACCCAGGCTGGAGAGTAGTGGCACGATCTCAGCTCACTGCAGCCTCGGACTCCCAGGCTCAAGGGATCCTCCCGTGTCAGCCTGGGAGTCAGGCTGATTTCCATTCAGTCAGTAACTGGGATTACAGGTGCATGCCACCACGCCTGGCTAATTTTTATATAAAAAAGTTTTTAAGGCTGGGCATGGTGGCTCACACCCGTAATCCCAGCACTTTGGGAGGCTGAGGTGGGCAGATCACGAGGTCAGGAGTTTGAGACCAGCCTGGCCAGCATGAAGAAACCGCGTCTCTACTAAAAATACAGAAAAAAAAAAAAAAAAAAAAAAAAAAAAAAAAAAAAGCCAGGCGTGGTGGCAGGCGCCTGTAGTCCCAGCTACTCAAGAGGCTGAGGCAGGAGAATTTCTTTCTTTCTTTCTTTTTTTTTTTTTGAGACGGAGTCTCGCTCTGTCGCCCAGGCCGGACGGCAGGAGAATTTCTTGAACCCCAGAGGCGGAGGTTACAGTGAGCCGAGATCACGCCACTGCACTCCGGCCTGGGCGACAGAGCAAGACTCCGTCTCAACAACAACAACAACAACAACAAAAAAAAAAAAAAAAAAGAAAGAAAAGAAAAGTATTTAAATTTAATTCAATGTTTAAAAATGTACTCAGGGCCGGGCGCGGTGGCTCACGCCTGTAATCCCAGCACTTTGGGAGGCTGAGGCGGGTGGATCACGAGGCCAGGAGATCAAGACCGTCCTGGCTAACACAGTGAAACCGTCTCTACTAAAAAATACAAAAAATTAGCTGAGCGTAGTGGCGGGCTCCTGTAGTTTCAGCTACTCTGGAGGTTGAGGCAGGAGAATGGTGTGAACCCGGGAGGCGGGGCTTGCAGTGAGCCGAGATCGCGCCACAGCACTCCAGCCTGGGCGACAGAGCGAGACTCCGTCTCAAAAAGAAAAAAAAAAAAATTAACTCAGGGGCTGGGCACTGTGGCTCATGCCTGTAATTCCAGCATTTTGGGAGGCCGAGGCAGGTAGATTATCTGAGGTCAGGAGTTCAAGCCCAGCCTGACTAACATGGTGAAACCCCATCTCTACTAAAAAAAGTACAAAAATTAGCCGGGTGTGGTTGCATGTGCCTGTAATCCCAGCTACTCGGGAGGCTGAGGCAGGGGAATCACTTGAACCCGGGAGGTTGAGGCTGCAGTGAGCTGAGATGGCGCCACTGCACTCCAATCTGGATGACAGAGCGAGACTCCACCTCCAAAAAACAAACAAACAAACAGACAACAACAACAACAAAAAAACAGTACTCAGGCTGGGCGTGGTGGCTTACGCTTGTAATCCCAATACTTTGGGAGGCCAAGGCAGGCAGATCACTTGAGGTCAGGAGTTCAAGACTAGTCTGGTCAACATGGCGAAATCCCATCTCTGCTAAAAATATAAAAATTAGCCAGACGTGATGTTGTGTGCCTGTAATACCAGCTACTAGGGAGGCTGAGGCAGGAGAATCGTTTGAACTCAGGAGGTGGAGGTTGCAGTGAGCCGAAATCATGTCATTGCACTCCAGTATGGGCAACAGAGCAAGACTCTGTCTCCAAAAAAAAGAAAAAAAGAAAAAAAAAAAAACCTTCAAAATTCAAAAGGACAAACCAAAATAACACGAAAAATCTCCCTGTGACCTTTTATCACCTAGACCTTCAGTTCCGTTTTCCAGAGGAAATGATGTTAACATTGCTATGTAAATCTCTCAAAAATATTTTATACATACAATAGCATGTATATATAGCATATATAACTATAGATGTGTGTTGTATTAATTTCCTATTGGTGCTATAAAAATTACCACAAATTTAATTGTTTAAAATAAAATATATTTAGGCTGAGCATGGTGGCTCACGCCTGTATTCCCAGCACTTTGGGAGGCCGAGGCGGGCAGATCACCTGAGGTCGGGAGTTTGAGACCAGCCTGAGCAACATGGAGAAACCCCGTCTCTACTAAAAATACAAAATTATGCGGGTGTGGTGGCGCATGCCTGTAGTCCCAGCTACTCGGGAGGCTGAAGCAGGAGAATTCCCTTGAACCTGGGAGGTGGAGGTTGCAGTGAGCTGAGATCGTGCCATTGCACTCCAGCCTGGGCAACAAGAATGAAACTCTGTCTCAAAATAAATACATAAATAAATAAGATATATTTATTATCTTGCAATTCTGGAGTCAGACATCTCACATGGGCCACAGTGGGCTACAAATCAAGATGTCGGCCGAGCCTGATGGCTCATGCCTATAATGTCAGTGCTTTCAGAGGCCTAGGCAGGAGGATCACTTGAGCCCAGGAGTTCAAGGCCAGCCTGTGCAACATAGCGAGACCCCCATCTCTACAAAAAAAATTTTCTTAACTAGCCAGGTGTAGTGGCACACACCTGTAGTCCAGAGGCTGAGATGGGAGGACTGCTTGAGTCCAGGAGTTCAAGGTTGCAGTAAGCCATGATCATGCCACTGCACTCCAGCCTGGGTGACAGAGGGAGAACTAGTATCAAAAAAAAAAAAAGAAAAGAAAGAAAAGAAAAAGAAAACATAAATAAAGAAAAGCACATATGCAATATATGCAATGTTAGTTAAACAGATGAGTTGATTAGACACGTTTGTTTATTTATTTTTATTTATTCATTTTTGTTTGAGACAGAATCTCATTGTCGTTGCCCAGGCTGGAACGCAGGGGCATGATCATGGCTCACTGCAGCCTCAACTCCCTGGGCTCAAGCGATCCTCCCACCTTAGCCTCCTGAGTAGCTGACTACAGGTGCTCACCACCACAGCCAGCTAATTTTTTGTATTTTTAGTAGAGACTGGGTTTCACCACATTATCCAGGTTGGTCTCGAACTCCTGGGCTCAAGTGATCTGCCCGTCTTGGCCTCCCAAAGTGCTGGTTACAGGTATTTGCCGTGGCACCTGGCCTGTTTATTTAGTTTTGAGATGAGGTCTGGCAATGTGACCCAGGCTGGACTTGAACTCTGGGCTTAAACCATCCTCCAGCTTCAGCCTCCTGAGTAGTTGGGACTACAGGCTTGCACCACCACACCCAGAATATTATTAAACACCCCCCAAATCCAGGTGCTTTTTTTAGCCTGCGTGACAAAGACATGAGCTCACGATTATTACAGCATCCAGCCGAACAGCAAGGATTCAAAATGAATATGGGAAGATATCTCCCCAAATCACTGTCTTATTTTGTCTTATGACTACAGCATTTCTGATTCTTAATTTATTCACAGACCACTTTCATTACATCGCCACTGCGAATACCACCTGTACTGTGTCAAGTACAAAAAAAACTCCAGACTTGGTAAGGAGTCACTTTATAGAAAAGGATTATTACAAGAGGAAGGGGAAGGGGCTGTTGTAATAGGAAGAGGGGGACTATTTCAATAGGGAGAACGCTCCTAAAATGAAATCTGCCAGCATCTCAAAGGTTGGGTAGAAAGGGGTTTTTCTTCTAGAGGGAAGAGTGACTAAAGCTAAGAAGAATGAAGTGTGGGGAAATGGGAGGAGCCTCATGAAGGGATGGGTGGGAGGTGGGGTGAATGGAGAGTAGATAGAGAATGTTTTATCCAGCGTCCAGCCTGTTCTCTGGAGGGGCTGTCTGCTGCTCCAGGCTGAGGGTGGGTCCAGGATCAGGGGCCCGGGAGAAGGAGAGTTTGGCTAACCAGCACTCTGTTCTGGTGGATCGGTGAGTACAGAGAGTCAGCCTAATCATTTGTGGGGCAATGAGTGGGAATTCGGAAGGTCTGTGTGTGGCCTTGTGCCAGGTCAACAAGGGGACATCTCTTAGAGAGATCTAAGTCATGTGAAGAAGGGAAGTTCTTTGCTGTGTCAACTAAATTAAGGCTGTGGAGGCAGACATAATTTGATAAATGTTTTGTAAATCAAAGAGTATCTGAGACAAGTCTCAGTCAATTTAGGAAGTTTATTTTGCCAAGGTTGAGGACACACCCGTGACACAGCCTCAGGAGGTCCTGATGACATGTGCCAAGGTGGTCGGGGCGCAGCTCAGTTTTATACATTTTAGGGAGGCATAGGACATCAATCAGCACATACAAAATGTCCATTGGTTCAGTCTGGAAAGGCAGGACAACTTGAAGCGAGGATGGGGCTTCCAGGTAATAGGTAGATAAGAGACAAAGGGTTGCATTCTTTTGAGTTTCTGATTAGCCTTTACAAAGGAAGTCATCAGATACGCATTTATCCCAGTGAGCAGAGGGATGACTTTGAGTTCTGTCTGTCCTCTGTCCACAAACTGTGAGGAAGGTATGTCATTTTTTTTACTTTTTTTTTTTTTTTTAAATCTTAGTAGCTATTTTTTTGGAATAGAAGGGGAGGCACGATGAGATTTGAGGAACTCAACGCAAAGATTTTTTACTCAGGGACAGGATGTAAGCCACGAATCATAAAACCTTCTCCAGGTAGTTAATTTGGACCTGTAGGTTATCAGCTGGAAGCCATTTCCAGGACACAAAGGGTAGGAAGATTGTTTTGATTCACACTCACAGGGCTCAGGTAAAAGTCACCATTGTCAACCAGTATACTTGAAGTTCTTCCTTTTAACAACTGCAATCAAGTTCTTTAAAGAAACTTCAGATTGCTCACACAAAAGGACAACCGGTAGCATTTGCCATAAAGAAAGGGTGTCTAAGGGCCAGGGGCGGTGGCTCACGCCTGTAATCTCACTTTGGGAGGCTGAGGCGGGTGGATCACGAGGTCAGGAGATCAAGACCATCCTGGCTAACACGGTGAAACCCCGTCTCTACTAAAAATAAAAAAATAAAAACATTAGCCAGGCGTGGTGGCGGGTGCCTGTATCCCAGCTACTCAGGAGGCTAAGGCAGGAGAATGGCATGAACCCAGGAGGCAGAGCTTGCAGTGAGCCGAGATCAAGCCACTGCACTCCAGCCTGGGCAACAGAGCGAGACTTCGTCTCAAAAAAAAAAAAGGTGCCTGAAGATGAACTCAAAACAAAGCAATGCTATTGAACTGTAGACACTGGAGTCCAGCTGGGTCTATGAGTTTGAGGTCATTAAATAATGGAGATTAGTAAGTGTCAAAGAAGCCATGAAGGCATCCTAGCACTGAAGAAGACTCACTGTGTGATCTCACCAGAAGAGTTGAAGAAAAGAATAACTTTTCAGTATGTAACTTTATGTTTTTAATACTATATCCATTTGCCAAACTAAAATTATCTCATTAATTCCCCACTTCGGGAATCCCAAACAATACATTAGGATGCCAGAGAAAATTTTCATAGCAGTTTTTTAAAAAGTAAACTTTAGTTTTTAGAAGAGAGCTTTAGACATTCAGAAAAATTGGTAAGATAATGCATAGAGTTCCCATAACCTCTGCACTCAGTTTCTTCTATTATTAGTATTTTATTAATGTATTTGTTGGATACACGTTATAATTAATGAATCAATGTAGATAACGTTATTAACTAAAGTCCATGCTTTGTTCAGATTTCCTCAGTTTTCACCTTATGTCTCTTTACTGTTTCGGGACATCGATCTAGGATGCCTCGTTGCACCCAGCTGTCCTGCCTCCTTAGTCTCTCCTTGACTGACAGTTTCTCAGACTTTCTTGTTTTTGATGACCTTGATGGTTTTGAGGTGCTGTGGTATTTTGTAAACTATCCCTCAATCAAGGTTTGTCTGATGATTTTCTTTTTTCTTTTTTTAAATAGAGACGAGATCTCACTATGTTGCCCAGGCTGGTCTGGAACTCATGGGCTCAAGAGATCCTCTTGCCTCAGCCTCCCAAAGTGCTGGGATTACAGGCATGAGCCACTTTGCCCAGTCTGTCTGATGATTTTCTCATGGTTAGATGAGAGTTTTGGGGGAGGAAGGTTTGGGGTTGAAAGACCACAGAGGTAAAGTGCCCTTCTCAGTACTTCATTCTCAAGGGTTCAAACTGTCAACTTGACTTATCATTGTTGATGTTGGCCTTGGTCACCTGCCTCAGGTAATGATTGTCAGGTTTGTCCATTATACAGTGACTCTTTCCTCCTTTCCACACTGTATAGATGGAGAGGCAGTCACTATAAACATTCCACACCTAAGGGCTGCAGTGCTATGCTACCACTCCTCGAGGGCAGATCATCTATGTAAATCATTTGGAGTTCTGCACAGATGATATCTACTCCCCATTTATTTATCCAACCCTTTGTTTATAACAGTACAAACTCCCTCTTGACTTTTAAATACCCAGCCAGCCCTCTGCATCCAGCCTCCCTTGTCTGCTTTTGTTTTTTGTTTGTTTTTGCTTTTTTTGCTATATGTATTAGTCCATTTGCACACTGCTATAAAGATACTACCTGAGACTGGGTAATTTTTAAATAAAAGAGGCTTAATTAACTCACAGATCCACATGTCTGTGGAGGCCTCAAGAAACTTACAATCATGGTGGTAGGAGAAGCAGGCACCTTCTTCACAAGGCAGCGAGAGAGAGAGAGAGAGAGAGAGAGAGAGAGAGAGAGAGAGGGAGAGAGGGAGACAAAGGAGGAACTTCCAAACACTTATAAAACCATCAGATCTCGCAAGAGCTCATTCACTATCATCAGAACAGCATGGGGGACACCCCCATGACCCAATCACCTGCCCCCCTTGACATATGGGGATTACAGGTTCCTCCCTCAACACACGAGGATTACAAATTGAGATGAGATTTGGGTAGGGACACAGAGCCAAACCATATCAATATAGGTTTTTGCTCTGTCACCCAGGCTGGAGTACAGTGGCATGATCAAGGGCTCAGTGCATCCTCCGCCTCCTGGGCTCAAACAATCCTTCCACCTCACCCTCCAGAGTATCTGGGACTACAGGCACATGCCACCATAACCAGCTACTTTTGTATTTTTTATAGAGATGAGGTTTTTCCATGTTGCCCAGGCTGGTCTCGAACTCCGGGGCTCAAGTGATCCACTGCCTTGGCCTCCCAAAGTGCTGGGATTACAAACCTGAGCCACCGCGCCTGGCCACTTGTCTGTGGGTGCTTTCTTCCCCAACCACCTCATCTACTCTCACAACTTCAATTACAGCAACAGGGCAAGACCCCCAACATTTCCCCAGCAGCCTAAAGCTCTCTCTGTTCTTTGGACTTGCATGTTCAGCTGTCTCCTGCCATGGCTACCCTTCCACTCTGCATGTTCCACACTGAACTCCTGCTGCAATATTCCTTCCTCCCCAAGACATCGCCCCTGTGCTCACGTAGAAACCTGGAAGTTTGCCTCCCAGCTTGCCACCCAAATACTTCTCAAATCTCTGTACTTCTCTTCACCCATATTGTTGCCTCCAAACTGCACCATGCTGGAATCTCACCTGTCCTAGCTCAGTGGCCTTGAAACTCACCTGAAATCCCCCAGTGCTGCCCTCTCCCCAGCATCCCACCATCTTCTCCCTTTTTCCCCACTGTCCCTCCCCCCTGCACCCCACTATCCTCTTATACCCCATTTTTCTCTCCTCTGCACCCCACTGCAGCGGGGCCACCTTTAAAAATACAAACCTTGGCCAGCAAGGTGGCTCACACTTGTAATCTCAGCACTTTGGGAGACTGAGGCCAGGAGTTCAAGACCAGTCTGGGCAACATGGTGAACCTTGTCTCTGCAAAAAAATAAATTAAAAAATTAGCCAGGCATGGTGAAGCATGCCTGTAGTCCCGGCTACTTGGGAGGCTGAGGTAGGAGGATAGCTTAAGCCCAGGAGTTCAAGGCTGCAATGAGCTATGATGGTGCCACTGCACTCCAGCCTGGATGAGAGAGTGAGATCCTGTCTCAAAAAATAAATAAAGTGGCCGGGCGCGGTGGCTCACGCCTGTAATCCCAGCACTTTGGGAGGCCGAGGAGGGCGGATCACGAGGTCAGGAGATCCAGACCATCCTGGCTAACACGGTGAAACCCCGTCTCTACTAAAAATACAAAAAATTAGCCGGGCGTGGTGGCGGGCGCCTGTAGTCCCAGCTACTCGGGAGGCTGAGGCAGAATGGCGGGAACCCGGGAGGCAGAGCTTGCAGTGAGCCCAGATCGCACCACTGCACTCCAGCCTGGGCGAAGCGAGACCCCAGCTCAAAAATAAATAAATAAATAAATAAATAAATAAATAAATAAATAAATAAAGTAAAAATGCAAACCTGGTTCTGCCACCTCCCTGCTGTGACGGGCTCTCAAGGTACATTCCAACAAGACCTGTTGCCACTCTGTCCCTTGTTCCCAAAGCTACACGGGTCCTCCTTAAGTCCTGCCACCCATGGACAGCCCTGCCTCCTCCCTTTCCTGTGCTGCCTTTTCTTCATCTTCCACATCTGCCTTTCAAAGTTACTTCTCCTGGAAGGCTTCTCTGACGCTACAGACTAAGGGAAAATTCCGTGATACATTTTCTATGTATTCCTAAACCGTAGCCCTTATCACAGGGGTAATTTAAAAATCACTTATTAGTGTTCATTACTTTATGCCTGAAAGGTTCTCCCCGGGGCCTGAAAGCTTAAGGGGATGAATAACTCCTCCCTCCTCAGGCCCAGTCCGGAGGCACAAGCCCACTTGCGCCAGCAGCGCGCCTCAGCAAGACAGCAGAAGCAGGAAGAGAGCCGGCCGGAAGACACTTACCCTGGCCGGAAGACATGTACCCCTGAGGATCGCGAGAGGCCATCCGGTTGCTGCGTAGCAGTCCCGTCAGACTGGAACACTTCCTGTTTACAGGACACTGTAAAACCCCTGCTCAGCACTCATTTGGTGCTGACGCCATTTTAGGTCTCATACCGTCTGCACCCAGGCGCCCAATAAAACAGCATGTTGCTCCACACCACCTTGTGTTGTTTGTTGGCGCGCTCCCGGGGTTCAAACAGATACAAGAACCTTTAATCTGGTGCCGAAACCCAGGAGGGGCTCAGGTCTGTGTCCCCTGTGGGCCTACCCCTGCACCCCGGAGAGTAGGCCACAGCAGCCGGACAAAGGAAGCTCCTCAGTCTCCAATCGCCTCTCTGTGCATGCACATCAGTCACTGATCTTGCCTACCTGTAAGTTTCCCTGGAGCCCCATTAACAGGGAAAAATCCACACAGCTTCTCTTGGTTTCTCTGGCCCGAAAATCCAACGTTGGTCCAAGAAGGCTCTGGCGTGTGCCAGGCACTCGCTGATCATCTGGTCTTAGGGGGTCGCCTCTAAGCCATTTGATCCCGTTCCAGGAACGAAAAAGGCAGCGGTGATGACTGCTTCTTTTATCGTCTCCCTCCAGCCATGCAGGACGGTCTCCTTTTCCCTGTTCTCCTGAGCCTACCCTCTGTTATGGGAAATTCTCAGTCTTCCTTTCCAAAGGACAGCCCGCTAGGCTACCTCATAAAAACCTGCAAACCTCAGGCCTCAGGCAAGATATCCGCCCTAAGCGCCTTGTCTTTTTTTCAATTCAGTCTGGCCACAGTACCAACTAGATAACGGGTCCAAATGGCCCGCAAATGGAACATTCGACTTTACAGTTTTACCTGACTTAAGCAATTATTTCCGACGACTGGAGAAATGGGGAGAGATTCCTTATGTCCTTCTGTCCAGGCCTTTTTGCACTCAGATCACAGCCCGACCTCTGCTGTTCTTGCTTACCTGTTTCTCCTCCATTCTTCCACCTTGATCGCGTTTCTCCTCCCAACCCTACCTCTTCTTCCTCGTTTGATCCAGCAGACTGCTGCCCACCCCTCCCAGCCCCTTCCTCTCCCTCTCAAATGTCTTTTTTAAACCCCCAAGCCTCCTCTTTATCTTCTCAGCCGCCACCTTCCCAGTCAGCAGTATCCACTTCTCTTCCGACACCGTCCCCTCCTCAGGACAATTCTAGTATTGCCTGTCCCCATTCTCCTTCATCACCGCCCTCTCTCCTGAGGCCCGTAAACCCATCCCGCCACCTTACACCCCTATCTATCCTCCGCCGCCTATTAACTCAACCCCTCTTCCCCCTTCAAACCCTCAGCAGGAACCACTTCCGGCTTTTCCTTCTCTCCCGCCCATACTCGCTCGGGCGCCATCTTCAGCCCATGCCCCACCTTTACTTCAGCGCCCCCTTCGGGAAGTAGCAGGAACTGAAGGTATTGTTAGAGTTCATGTTCCATTCTCCCTCACTGATCTCTCTCAAATTAACAAAAGACTTGATTCACTTCCAGAAGACCCTACCTCTTATATATGAGTTTCATACCTCACCCAGTCTTATGAACTAACCTGGCATGACCTCTACATTATCCTGTCTTCCACCCTCACCCCAGAAGACTGAGACCGTATCTGGACCCTAACTCAGGCACATGCTGATACAATTCATCACCAGGCTCCTGCGCAGCCTACTGGTGCAGAGGCAGTCCCCAAACAGGACCCCCTCTAGAATTATCAAGACGGGGCTTCTGGACGCCGCCATCGAGACCACATGATTGTGTGTCTCCTTGCAGGACTCAAAAAGGGTGCCCATAAAGCAGTCAACTATGAAAAACTTTCAGAAATCACCCAAGGTCCCGACGAAAACCCAGCCCTTTTTCTCTGTCGTTTAACTGAAGCCATGAGAAAGTATACCAACCTAGACCCAGCCAGCCCAGAAGGAACCACTATTTTAAACCTTCGATTCATCTCCCAATCCACCCCGATACCTGGCACAAGCTTCATAAGGTTGACAACGGCCCTCAAACCCCACAACTAGACTTTCTTAATTTAGCCTTCAAAGTCTTTAACAGTCATGATAAGGAAAGTAAAAGGCAAAAACAGGGAGAGTTTCAAATGCTTGCCTTTGCCATCAGGGGCCCTGCAGGCTCACGGGGCTGTGGCTCCACACGGAAGCCTCCTGGTAATCCACCTCCACCTGGCACCTGTTTCAAGTGTGGCAATGTAGGCCACTGGTCCAGACAATGCCCAAACCCGGCTAAGCCCACCAGGCTGTGCCCCCTCTGCAGAAAACCCCACTGGAAGTTGGACTGTAAGCGGCCCCTGTAAGGACCGCCCCCATCCCTTCCTGAGCCAGCCAAAAACCTCCTACTCTCATTGGCCTTGCTGCTGAAGACTGACGGTGCCCTGGAATGGATGCCCCAGCAACTACCATCGCTTCATCCGAGCCAAGGGTAACCCTGATGGTGGCAGGTAGGCCAGTATGTTTTTTAATTAATACCGGGCAACCTACTCTGCTTTACCTAATTTTTCAGGACCGACCCAGTCCTCCCAAGTCTCTGTTGTGGGAATTGATGGACAAGTCTCCAAACCCTGAGCCACCCTCCGCTCTTCTGCTCCCTTCACGCCTTTTCCCTCACTCACTCTTAGTCCTGCCCTCATGCCCAACTCCGCTTCTAGGCAGAGACATCCTTTCAAAACTCTACACTACTCTCCACTTCCACATTCCCCATGGCAGCCAACGCATCTGCCCAGACCCCTCCGGTACTTCTAGCTTTCTTCTACTCGTCCAACTTCCCACCCTAAAACATGCAACCTTTCCTTTTCCCCCATCCGTAGTTAACCCGGCTGTCTGGGATACTTCCACACCCTCAGTCGCAAAACACCACAGCCCCGTCCGCATTACCCTTAAAGAGCCCGCCCAGTTCCTGTCACAGAAGCAGTATCCCATCCCCCAAGCAGCTCTTACAGGCCTAAAGCCTATCGTTTCTCTCCTTCTCGTCAGTCACCTACTCTGCCCAACAGACTCCCCTTTTAACATATAGATTCTACCTGTTAAAAAACCAGATGGAACTTATCGCTTAGTCCAGGCCCTCAGGCTCATTAACCAAGCTGTACTCCCAGTATGCCCAGTATCTCCTCACCCATACACTTTACTTTCCACAATTCCCTCCAACACCACCCATTTTTCTGTTCTAAACCTAAAGGATGCTTTTTTCACAATTCCTTTACACCCTGATTCCCAAAACCTCTTTGCCTTTACGTGGGAAAACCCCGACACCCTTGGAGTCCCTGCGTATGATAACCAGAGAAAAACAGTCCTTAAAGGCAGGAGGAAGCCAAAGACCGTGAGAGGACGAGTGGCCTCCGCAACGGATCATCGAATATTACGGTCCTGCCACCTGGGCTGAGGATGGTTCACGGGGTTATCGCACTCCCACATATATGCTAAACAGAATAATTAGACTACAGGCTGCTCTAGAGATAATCACTAACCAAACCGCCCCAGCGCTGGAAATGCTCGCGTGACAACAAAACCAAACGCACCCAGCAATTTATCAAAACAGGCTGGCTCTAGACTACTTATTAGCAGAAGAGGGTGCGGTCTGTGGTAAGTTTAACATCTCCAATTGCTGTCTTAACATAGACGGTAACGGAAAAGCGGTTCTAGAAATCGCTTCAAACATCAGAAAAGTAGCCCGTGTACCAGTCCAAACCTGGAAGGGATGGGACCCAACAAACCTTCTAGGAGGGTGGTTCTCTAATTTAGGGGGATTTAAAACGCTGGTAGGGACAGTAATCTTCCTCATTGGGGTCCTCCTGTTTCTCCCCTGTGGTATCCCACTGATAATAAAAGCCATTAAAACTCTTGTTGAAACTACAGTTAACCGCCAGACAATCCAGACGATGCTCCTGCTACAACGACACGATGGATACCAAGCCGTCTCTCAAGAATACGCCAAAATTTTTTCTTTTTTTCCGAGGTGCCCACGCCACCCCCTATGTCACACCTGAAGTAGTTATGGAGAAAGTCGCCCCTTTTCCCTTTTTCTATAACCAAATAGACAGGAATGAAAGATTCTCCCCGGGGCCGAAAGCTTGGGGGGATGAATAACTCCTCCCTCCTCAGACCCAGTCGCAAGGCGCAAGGCCGCTTGCACCAGCAGCGCGCGTCAGCGAGAAGCAGAAGCAGGAAGAGGGCCGGCCGGAAGACACGCACCCCGGCCGGAAGACACCTACCCCGGCCGGAAGACACGCACCCCGGCCGGAAGACACCTACCCCGGCCGGAAGACACGCACCCCGGCCGGAAGACACGCACCTGAGGATGGAGAGAGGCCGTCTGGCTACTACGTGGCAGTCACGTCAGACTGGGACACTTCCTGTTTGCAGAGAACTATAAAATCCCTGCCCTGTCCTCACTTGGTGCTGACACCATTTTAGGCCTCAGCCCGCCGGCACCCAGGTGCTCATTAAAACAGCATGTTGCTCCACACCGCCTTGTGTTGTCCGTTGGCGCGCTCTTGGGGTTTGAACCAATACAAAAACCTTTCAATGCCTTTAATTACCGTTAGTATATAGCAGCTCCACGCACTATGAAATGCCCAGAGTCTGGACAGGCTGCCGGAATTGAAATCTTGGATCTGCTGCGTGTCCCTCAGCAACTTCTATCACTGTATGGCCCATCTGTAAAATGGGCATGATGATTGTGCCTCCTTTGCAGGGTGATCATGAAGATTCAGTGAGCTGCTATGTGCCAAGCTCTTCCAAGAGGGCCTGGCGTTTCAGCAGGTGCCATGGGAGGTAAATGGTGAATAACGCAAGTCTCTTCTTCCCAGTCATAGGAAGGCTCCTGAGTCTTGTTCTGCTGGCCTGATCATCATCTACCACAGGGAGGGCAGGTTGAGGTACAGATAAAATCTTGAAGAAAAAGCGTCCCTCGCCACTCCCAGCCCTCACCCCTCCATCACCCCAGCTCAGGTTAAGGGCTTGCAGGCACAGCTGCACCTCTGCCCAGGCAGCCCCAGGGCGGTGCCCTGGAGCCACTTCTACAGACTCCTAGGAAATTGCTCAGAGCCACGCAGCAGTGTTGAGACTGGAATCCGGGCAGGGCCCACCGCTTCGTCTCCCTAGAGAGCACTTGCAGACCTCTCTGGAAAACAGGCAGATTGGAGATTGGAGTTGGGAGAACTGAATACCCCCAAGTTAGTGGCGCACAAATGATGTTTCCATGACTTATGCCGGAAAGTCAATACAGTTACCAAGACAACTATGGACTAGGACGCACCACCATACTCAGACCTGGACCCTGCCTGAGCCTCTGCTGCAGCACGGTTGGATTAAACCCATCCCAAAAGTGATGCTTTGGGATTGCAAAAATAGCTGCCCCTCTGAGGAGACAGGAGGGAGCTGTGAGGGTCACAGGACAGCAGAGCCACGGTGTCCTGGATTTTCCTAAGCCCCTTTCCGATGGGGCTGGTGGCTGCGGTGGCTCTGACTGGGCAAAGGAGAGGGCATGGGTGGCGAGTGGCTCCTAGGCATTTCCAGGCAAGGGAAGCCCTCCTCTCCCAAAGGCCCTTCTCCCCGACCCCATTTCAAAACAGACCAGGGTCTTCCTTTCAAAACCTTTGTTTTCTTCTCTGGGTGTGTCTTCACTTCACTGTTACTGTCAGGCCTGAGGCTCAGCAGACGTCCTATCTTCAGCCACGCCCTAAGACTGAGCACAGCCTGGGGAAAGACCACCCTCTAGAGCAGCGCTCCAGGCTCCACCTGGAGCTGAGGGAGAGGCGCCCAGGCCGGGGAGGGAAACTGCCCGGCTTCAGCCATGCCTCTGTCATAAACTTCTTCCCATCCAGCCATAAGATGCAGAAAAGTAATTTGCTTCTTCTTGCTTCTTAAAACCCAGCTCAGAAAAATTTCACCCACCTCCATCCTGCCAAAAACAATGACAAAACCACTCACTCATTCAGTATTCTCAGACTGTCCCATCCGCTCAGAAACGCGACTGCATCTATGAGGCTTACTCCTCCTCCAGCTTGAAGCCACTGTGAGGACTGTGGTGAGCAGCGTGGCTTCACCGCCGCCCTGCTGAGGCAGTCTGAGGGCAAGGCACTTACAGTCCCTGCCTCCGCGTCCTCACCTGCCTTGGCGACCACGGGATCAGCCCCAGAACTGAATGAGGTTGCAGGAAACTTGGTTCAGCCCAAACTCTGTAACCTTAGATAAAACATTTAACTAAGTTGTCCCCCCTGGCCAAAGGAGGGCTCTGGACAACTTACTGTGTCTCTTTCAGCTTTAACACTCTAGATTCTTTTTTGTTGTTTTTTGTTTTTAGACAGGGTCTTACTGTCACACAGGCTGGAGTGCAGTGGCATGATCAAGCTTCACTGCAGCCTCGACCTCCCAGGCTCAGGTGAACCGCCTGCCTAAGCCTCCTGAGGAGCTGGGACCACAGGTGCACACCACCACACCTGGTTAATTTTTGTATTTTGTTGTGGAGACAGGTTTTTGCCATGTTGCCCAGGCTGGTCTCAAATTCCTGTGCTCAAGCAATTAGCCTGCCTGAGCCTCCCAAAGTGCTGGGATTACAGGCATGAGCCACCACACCCAGTACCACTCTAGATTCTTGACTAAATGTGAGTAGCTGAGTTTCAAAATGCATTTTAAAACTTATTTCTTTCCTCCTTTCTTTCCAGTCTCAAGATACAACCTTGAAACAGACTGCAAAAACCTTTTTTTCCTTAGTCTTAAAATACAGCCTTGAGATGTACTTTGAAACTGCAGTCCCTTCCCTTTTCCACTGCACACTTCCTTACCCCAAGCACCTTTATCTAACCATATGCTTGTTAGGAAATTCCAGGGCTTGATTAGAAACACAGCAGGCATGCAGGTCCAGCTGTGAAATGCTCCCCCACTTACAGACTGCCTGAAGATGGAGCATCTACAGCCCGACTGTAACCAGCAGAAAAAGGCCCTGGCTGGTCGCTGCTTGTGGAAGGAAGTCAGAATAACATGTTGGCCAAGCGTCGTGGCTCACGCCTGTAATCTCAGCACTTTGGGAGGCTGAGGCAGGCGGGTCCCCTGAGGTTAGGAGTTCAAGACTAGCCTGGCCAACATGGCGAAACCCCATTTCTACTAAAAAATACAAAAATTAGCTGGGCATGGTGACACATGCCTGTAATCCCAGCTACCAGGGAGGCTGAGGTATGAGAATTGCTTGAACCCAGGAGTTGGAGGCTATAGTGAGCCCAGATCATGCCACTGCACTCCAGCCTGGGGCACAGGGCAAGACTCTGTCTCAAAAATAAATAATAAATAAATAAATAAATAAATAAATAAGTAAATAATGAAGTTATTACAGCCTGAGACTAGACGGTTCAAGGAGGAAAGGAGAAAGGAAAAAAAAAGTTTTAAAACATGGTTTGAGGCTTAGCTGCCAAGCTGCTCAGTTACATGGCCATTGCCACTGTGAAGATGGTGCCAGCCTGCACTCCAGGTGGACCATAACTCAAGACAGGCATCAGAGCAAGACACAGCCCCTGCACCTGCACAACTCCAGCATGCCTTTCACATCAGGCTTCCCTTTTTTCAGCCCCTGCCCTCAGCCCAAACTTTGGAAATGGCTTCTTTAAGGCCTTGGCATTTCCCATCTGCTAGCATTTCATTAGTAAAGCTGCTTTCCTTTGACCACACCTTGCTTCTTGTGAGCAGCTGAACTTGAGTTGGTTACATGAAGATAACTATTTCCTGAGGGAGAATCACTTTACTGTAGAAACCAGAACCTGGAGGGCAGCTTTAGTTTCCTGGAGTGGTAGAACACTATTGATTACCTAACTGGTTTTGAGATTTAAATCTTCCCTTAAAAGAACTGTAGTGGTTTGAATGGGGCCTCCATGAAGATCTTTTCCTGGGACCTGTGAATGTGACCGTATTTGGAAAGAGTGTTTGCAGGATATCTAGTTGATGCCAGAGAAAGAGTGTCTGCGGGATACCTAGTTGATACCACAGGCTGGTGTCTGAGCAGTGGCAGCTCTCCCCAGCACCTGAACATACTGGTTTCCAAGCACCTGCTTGGATGGGAGTTATGTTTCTTTTGGGAGGGCAGAAGTGATGGGGTGCAGCTCTATCCAACACATACCAAGCTCTCATTTTGCAGGAGCATGTTGTCTTAGACCGCAAGCTGGATGATGTAAGCAGACACAGACAGAGGTCTCTGCCCTTGGTGAGTAACCGTGGAGAAAGTGGTGAGAAAGGAATGTATTGGATATCATCTGTCCTCTTCTTCTCAACTATAATGCAAGTCTGTACTGACCATCTTCGAGCCCCAACACTGCACACCTGGCCATTATTTAATCTAACTGGGATCCACTCGTCCAGTGCAATAAGGACAAACACCCGTCCTGAGGTTTGTGGCAGGAGAAAGGAAGGTGTTTATTTGCAGGATGCCAAGCAAGGAGAATAAGGCAGCTCACACTTAATATCTGACCTCCACAGCGGCTTGCAAGAAAGGGTTTTTAAAGGCAGGGCGGCTGGTGCAAAGGTAATGAGTTATCACGATTGTTCAGTGAGTTACACATCAAACACCTTGTTCTGCTCTTCCCCTGACTCTCACTACTGCATCTGACTAGTCATTAAAAAAAGAAAAAAAAAAGAAAAGAAAAAGAAAAGAAAGGAGAAGAGAAAAATAAAGGCAGGGGTAAATTTTAGGAAAGCAGAAATTACAAGCAAAATTATAAATCAATACATTGAAATTACTCATCGGTTTAGCCTCAAAAGGACAGGATACCTTGAAGCGGAGGCTTACAGGTCATAGGTAGAATTCACAGATTTTCTGATTTGCAGTAGGTTATAGAAGAGAAGCTTTGTTTAAAATTTGGGGTCAGCAGAAAAGAATGTTAGGTCTGGCTCTTGGGAACGACTTCCTCCAGTCCCAGGAGGAAATTTAAGACAATATCAGTTAGAGTTTAGTCCTTAGGCCCCCTTATCTGAGGTTTATGCGCCAGTGAATCCTTGCCCAGCAAGGAGCATGCCTTTGATACGCAAACTAACCCATTCGGACCCATACCTCCAGTATCTGACATGACACCCCAGGAGGCAACATTCCTCTGTCTTACGCATCCCAGAGCCTGGTGCCAGGCAATTAGTAACCATCCCTGTAACCCAAAGCCCACAGAAATTATTCAAACTAACCAATCCTAAACTGTTCACCTTGCCCTGCTTTGACTCTCTCAAAGGAAACCCCAATAAAGACGGTGGCCCAAACCTTCTCCTTGCTCCTGTCTTCTGCTTCCTGCCACCTGGTGTCTTTCCCATGAGGCCCTGCCTGGCCTGCTGTGCCTCCTGTCTCTAGGACCTGTGAGTAGAATAAACTTCGTCTTTTCCTGAGACTCTCCTCTGTCTTCTCTTGTGGCTATGCCTGACTGATCATCACGTAAAAAGGTAGAAAATAGCAAGTATCCAACCTCTTCGTATTTTGACAAGGTGTAGCAAGACTAATATAATGGGGCAGGACAGACACAACCATAGTATTTTTTTTTTTAAAGCAGGTGATGGAGAAAGGGTGGTTCTCCTGCCATTTGGTTGTGTGATTAGAAGACAGCCCTTTGTCACACAGTTGTCGGCCTGCCTGTGATATTCCCGGCTATGGCCAAGATGTGTGAGGTAAGCCCCGGGTTCCTCCCACTTCCGTGTATTCCTGAGGACTCTGCTTTCCCACACTGAGTTTTGCATCTTCTCACAGGGAATTTCTATGGCTTCTCTGTACTTTGCTAATTATATGCACATTAATCATGGTGACCTGGTTACAGGCTATGGTTTCAAGAGAAGATAAAGTTCCCAATTGGTATCTGATGGGCAAAACAGGTACAGATGGACCCCCTGGGCTTTGCCCCTGTTGAGCTCATGATCACTACTAACCACCCCCCAGATGCTGGGCCACTGGCACTCTATCAGCTGCCCTATACATGGGTCTGGGCTGCTAGAGGTACCTGGTCTTCCAGTGGTCCCTTCAACAGTCCCTTTCCTGTGGCCAGTCTGCCCTAAGCAAGTTTTCTAACCTCTAGCCTTGTTGCATGGACTAGTAGTGGGCACTGACCGTCACTTTCAAGACCAAACAGTATCAGTGTTTGTTGCTAATACTAAGTGTGTCTGGAGGCTGGGTGTGGTGGCTCAGACTTATAATCCCAGCACTTTGGGAGGCCATGGTGGGAGAAGCTCAGGAGTCTGAGACCAGCATGGGCAAAATAGTGAGAGCCCGTCTTTAGGGGGGTGAAAAAAAAGTGGGCTTATTTGATGGAATTGCTGAAGTGCTATAATCATCGCTGAATCGTCTACGTAACTCTGCAAGCAGAATTACTTCTATCTGATCCAAACTCTGCTTTTGGCAGAGGAAGGGAAACCATCTCACAGGAGAAGAGTGACTTGGACAAGATCTCCACAGGCTTCAAAGCTGGCCTTCTCTTTCCTTTGTGCCACAGTATGATTTAGGACTGATAGGGACCCTCCCACCAATGGCCTCATCTTTTTTTATTTGTTTCTTCTTCTAGCTGAGGCAAGAGTTGGGGAGATAGAGAAAAGAGAAAAACGACTAAGGTTGGCTTAAAGCTGTGGTGTGACCAGGAGTACAATCTACTCCCAGCGTATGAAACAGTTATTTCTTCTTCTTTCTTTTGGGGAGGGGCCAGATCAGGTGACCAGAACTATCTAAAGCCTGCAGGTCTTAGAAAACATGTTTTGGCTGTGCTTCACATTTTACTTTTTGTTTTTTGAGATGAAGTCTTGCTCTGTCACCCAGGCTGGAGTGCAGTGGCGCTCCACCGTTCATAGCAACCTCCACCGTTCACAGCAACCTCTGTCTCCTGGGTTCAAGGGATCTTCCCCCACCTCAGCCCCCAAAATAGCTACAGGCATGTGCCACCATGGCAGGCTAATTGTTCTATTTTTTTCTTAGAGATGGGGTCTCACTATATTGCTCAGGCTGGTCTCAAACTCCTGACCTCAAGCAATCCTTCTGCCTCGGCCTCCCAAAGTGCTGGGATTACAGGAATGAGCTGCCACGCCCAGCCACATTTTACTTTTTAAATGAAAATGAAAAGCCTAACAGGAATATTGACTCAGCAAGTTTTTATTATGCACCTGTGGGTTTGTGACGATGCCAAGGGATCAGAGGAACAAAGAGAGAGGATGTTGCTCAGATGGGGGTCTCAACCTCCAGAGCAAGGTGGACACAAAGCTCCAGCCAGCTGCCCAGCCCCTGGGGTGGGAGGGAAGGATCGAGGGGTAGCTGTTGTCAGATAAGGCCAAAGGTATCAGTGGCCAAAAGGGAGACAAAGATCTCCTGGGTGCAGCCTCCTCCACCACTGTGGTGAAGGGTGTTGGGCTGGAGGGTTGGCCGACCTCTCCTGAGAGCACGTTCCCCCTGCTGCTCCTGCTGCATGGCATCAACCTGGGTTTCAGTTACATTACCCAGGAGGATTTCCAAATCCAGAGGCAATGTGGCCTTCCATTTCCTGAGGTGCCTTGGTTGGCTCTGGATCAGTGGTGGGGACTCAAGAGACAGCCTCCCTGTGGCTTCCAGCCCCTCACATTCCCTTTGTCGCTTTCTCCTTCATGATGTGGTTTTACACAGAAAAACACTCTGGTAAGTAGAACAGTGTTCTTCTCTTGAGTCAGACGTCTGAAGCAGGAAGGTGAATAACCTTCCCAAGACCTTAGAGCTACAGAGAGAATCCTCAGCACAGGTAGGAGCACACAGGTAGGTGGGGTAAACGTGTACAGAGAGCCTGGCTTCTACTTGGAATTTTCCCCTCCCTTGGCCTTAAAAATCGGATTTCTCCCTTTTCCAGCTATGTTGATACAAGAGACAAACTATTTAGAAAGTAAAAGCCTCAACCGTTTATTTTGTGTTCAAAGTATAACCAAATGATTTTATTGCATTTACTGCTCCTGGGCATGCAGATGCATCTACACAGAAACAGCAGTTGTGGTTATAAAATCTTTTAACGAGTTTGGGGCAGAGGCTTTTTAATTATTTTTGAGACAGAGTCTCATTCTGTCACCTAGCTTGTGCAGTGGCATGATCTCGGCTTACTGCAACTTCTGCCTCCCAGACTCAAGCAATCCTCCCACCTCAGCCTCCAGAGTAGCTGGGACCGCAAACGTCAACACCACACCCAGCTAATTTTTTGCATTTTTGGTACAGACGGGGTTTTGCCATGTGGCCCAGGCTGGTGTCACTGAGCTAGGCAATCCACCCACCTTGGTTTCCCAAAGTGCTAGGATTACAGGTGTGAGCCACTGCACCCAGCCCAGAGTTTTCCTGATGTGAAAATTACGTGAGTGACAAGGAGCACCAGGAGCCTTGCCTGACTTACTGTCTGTTGGTAGGATGTGACATATGAATAATACAAAATACCCGTCTGGTTTGACTTGCAGATTAAATCACTGCTAGACTACAGCCTTGATGCCCTCTCTTGCTGACCCTAGCCAACATAACCAGTCTTCCAGGAACAATACCATGTTTTAAATTGCTTGAGGTTTCACTACCTGCTGTCACTCTCAGTCCGGAATCCCAGCAGGAGACACAGCTCCAGCTGGCCTGCCCAGCCCCCATCAGAAGGCAGGGAGGAAGGGGAATTTGTCAGCGTTTACGGCTATTGAGTATGATTCTTCCATGCAGAGGACACCTGCCCTAAATGCTGAAACTTGGGTCTGAACCCTGCCTTTGATGGAATTGTGAGCAAGCTCACTCAAGTTTGTATTGACTCATCTGTAAATTAGGAATGATATAGCATACCTCACGTTTATCTGGAGTCATGGGCTGAATGCTGTCCCTTTCAAATTCCGATGTTGAAGTCCCAACCTCTAGTACCTCAGAATGTGACCTTATTGGTAAACGGTTGCTGCGGATACAGATGAGGTTATACTGGAGTCGGTGGGATGGGCTCTAATCCGATATGACTGGTGTCCTTAAACAAAGGGAGGTTTGGAGACAGACACGCACACAGCAAGAGTGCCATGTGGAGATGAAGGCAGAGACTGGGTGACGCTTCCACACACCAAGGAATGGCAACTGCCAGCAAAGGCATGAAGCCGCTTCTCCCTCACAGCTCTCGGAAGGCACCAACTCTGAGGACACCCTGATCTTGGACGTGCACCTCCCAGAACTGTCAGGGAATACACTCCTGTTGTTCTAAGCCAGCCAGTGTTTGGACACACCAGCACTCCAAGCTAATGTATCTATCAAGTGTGTTGTCAGGCAAGGTTCTGTTCTGGAGCTTGGCTCACCCAGACAGGAGAACCCCTCACTGGGGGCAGAGCTCCACATTCCTAGACAGGACAGATTGGAAGAAGGGACTTAAGTGCCTTTTAAACGATGACAACTCCGCTTCCAACCCACAAGCATTTACCAAGGATCTTTGGGGTATAAAGACATTATGGGGTAGGTGTGCAACACAAATTAAAATGTAAGCTTTGTTTTTGGTGAGCTCCAGATCCCTAGTGATTGGCCCCCAGGAAAATCAACAGGTATGACGACTGTTTCCAAACCTCAAGAAGGAGCTCTGCAGACCCCTGCCACAGAGGCCAGCCCAAAAGGGCTGCCTGATCATCTTGGATCTGCGGGGTGCTCCTGCCTACCTGATGGCCACGAATCTGGGGCTCAGACATGACATGTCTGGCTCAGTGTGCCTGGCCCTGCTCCCCACTGAGCCCATCAGTCCCACCCTGCCTTCTTCTTTCCTCTAGTCCAACATCCGCCAGCAGCTTCTCAGTGGAAGTGCAGGCATCCTGGAGCTTCAGGAGCAGATCCTAGCGTTCAGACAGGGAAGGAGGGGAGGGAGTATACTGAGGTTTGGCTGGTGACCAGGGTGCCGCCCTGACGGGGGATAGCCCAGTTTTACTCCCCGAGCTTGGGGAGCATGGGCCAAGGGTCTCTAAGACGCAGAACACCTGGCATGTCCAACCTGGTGATGGCACATCCCCCCCGTTTTTTGGCACAGCAGAAACAGAACACTCACTTGGCCACTCTTTCATTACCTGGGGGAGGGAGAGTGCTCCCATGGCACCACCCGAACGCTCACTACCTGAGAGCAAGGACAGGAGGGAGGTGTGCTCTCTATCCTGGGGAAGGTATGTCCTGGGTGGGGGCGCTGATCAGTACCAAGGTGAGGGGGCAGCACCAGCCAGGGTGAGGCCGCCCCAGGCGGAGAGGCTCAGTAGGAGTTCAGAGCCTGCTTGGAACGGCGCTTCATGTGCAGGCGCTCGTGGCGGAGGAGGTCATAGTTCTGCGTGAAGCTCTTGACGCAGTACCGGCACTGGAAGGGCCGGGCTTTGTCCTTCAGGTGAAAGTGGCTGCGGTGCCGAGCCAGGTGGTCGTGCCGCTGGAAGGCCTTCCCACACTCACAGCACTGGAAGCTCAGTTTGGCCTTGCCGTTTTCCAGCGGCTCTTTGGGACCCTTGTCCGCGTCCTCGGATGCCGCCTGCTCTCTCTTCTCCACCGGCTGGAGTCTGTCCGGCTGCAGGTGTATCCGCCGGTGGGAGAGCAGGTGGGAGTTCAGGCGGAAGCTCTTCCCGCAGGCACCACACCGGTAAGGCTTCTGGGCCTCGTGGCTCTCTAGGTGCCCATCCAGGTCCTCGCTGTCGCTGAACAGCTCCCCGCACACCGAGCACTCGTGCGGCTTCTCCTGCTCCCTGCGGCTCCGCAGATGCCGGATGAAGTTGACCCTCCAGCGGAAGATTTTCCCACAGTTCGGACACACGTAGGACTTCTTGGAGGTCTGCACCTCGCCTCCGGCCTCGGTGCTGCTCCGGTGGGAGGCGGGGAGGCTGCGCTGCTTCTCTGTGGGGCTCCCCAGCTCTTCTGTGCAGTACGGGCCATGCTGGGAGTCCTCGTCCCCAGAGCTGGAGAGAACGATCTCGATGGTCACTTCTTCATCCAGGCTGTTCTCTAGAGATCGCGGGTTGCCGCCAGCTACAGGAAGGCAACATGCAGGTCAGCGACGCTGCACAGGCCACATCCCAGCCCCTATGACCGCGGCGGAGGAACACTCAGCTTGGAGTTTACAAACCCGTGTTTTTACAATGGTCCTCGGTGACCGGGGCGGCCTGGCCAGCCCTGCAGGGGCCACTGGTGTAGCCTGTGAGGAAGAAATCTTCAGCATGGGCCCCGCTGTGTCCAGAGCATGCTGGGCACCTTGCTCTCCCTCTTCCCAGCCATTTTCCCTTATCTCCACCCCCAACCCTTTTGTTCTCTACCCACGGAGACCACCCCATCCCCCCAAGCTCTAGGAGTCTGTATTTATCTGGGTAAAGCCTTGACCATTTACAGATCATGCACTTAACAAGGCATGGGGGAAAGCTCTATCAGGATAGTGAAAGGACTTGAGAGAGGAAGACTCTACAACCTACACATATCATGTGCTGGGCACTTGCATGCTCCAGGGACTGTGCTAGACTTGACATGCACATTCCTATTTGCTCCTGGACGCAACCCGATGACCTATTGGTTGCCATGTTTACACATAAACTAAGGTGATCTGTGCCAGGAAGGAGGGCTGAAATGCTACTCAGCCTTGCTAGGCTGCTCAACAGTCCCAGACTGCCCAGAGTCCTGGGTCCCCCACAGCTCCCCGGCTCCCAGTAGCACCGCATTTCTGAGGCCACAGGTGGTGATGGATAAAGCTGCTCTGGACTTCCTGCATCCTGAGTCTGTGATGTTGGGAAGGTGGAACCACGGGGCGGGGCTGGGTGGACAGTGCAGAGCCCGGCCTGAGGTCCCGGCTTATGGAGCAGAGCCCACCATACAGGTGGCCTGTTTCCTCACTGCTGTGAAATGTAGAACTCAAATCTAGAACTTGGGGGGAGTGAACCAGGCCCTCCCAGATAAGAGTAGGAACATGGTTAGTCTGGGCTTCATGACTGTGGGGAGGAGAGCCCTGGCTAGTCAGAGCAGCTCAGGACAGGAGAAGTTGGACAAACAGAAGCAGGGCAGGAAGACACAGAGGCTATGGAGAGCAGAGAGATAAAGGGCAATGGTGGAAGCGGAGGGGGCATTTGTCCCTCAGTCACAAGGGGGTCGGGGGAACATGAGTCTGGGAGTGGGTACTGAGTCTGCCAAGAACCCACGTAGTATAGGAGGGAAATCATCAGATGAAGACAGAGATTGTGTTTGTGTGTGTGCATGTGTTTTTAATTTTTTGTACAGATGGGGTCACATTATGTTGCCCAGGCTGGTCTCAAACTCCTGGGCTCAAGCGAGCCACCCATCTCAGGTGATCCACCTGCCTCAGCCTCCCAAAGTGCTGGGATTACAGGTGTGAGCCACTGCGCCCGCCGAGAGGCTATGTTTGACGCTTATCTCGACTCTTGGTTTTCGAGCTGCAGGAACCTCGTTCCAGCCAGACAGCTTCTCTGAGCTTGGGTCATCTCGTCTACAAGGTGAGAATGACAGTGGCAGCCCGTTGCTCTAAGCTGCTGGTGGGGCAGGTGAGGTCATGTGTATGATGTACTTTGTGGACCTCATGGGGTGGAGACAAGAGCAAGGTGTAACTTTTACCAGGCTGCCGATGACAAGGTACTTGATCAGCAGTTGACTTCTGTTAATGGACTTGGGTGGAAGAAGAAAACAAAGTGACAAGGTGGACCGCTAAGATCTCTTACTTGTTAACTGGGCGAGGAGATGGAATTATGAGAGCAGACAGTGCATGTTATGGGCGAAATTGTGTCCCCCTGAAAATTTACATGATGAAGCCCTAACCCATAGAGCCTCAGAATGTGATTACTTGGAGATAGGGTCTTTCAAGAAGTAATTAAGTCAAAATGAAGTCAGATGGTGGGGCCAATCCAAAATCACTGGTCTTCTAAGAGGAGGAGACTGGAGGCAGACTTCAACAGAGGGAAGGACCCTGTGAGGACACAGCAAGATGGGAGCCGTCTCCAAGACGAGAAAGGCCTTGGAAGACACCAGCTCTGCTGAAGCCTTGATTCTGGACTTGTTGCTTCTGGAATTGTAAGAAAGTAAGTTTCTGTTGTTTAAGTCACCCAGCCTGTGGTACCTTGTTATGGTAGCCACAGTAGACTAACATAGACTTTGGCACCAGGAAGTAGGGTGCAGCTAAAACAAAGACCAAAAACTGTCGAAGTGATTTTAGAACTAGGTCATGGGGAGAGGCCAGGAGAGTTCTGAAGTGCATGTTTAAAAAGCCTTGAGGAAGTGGCTGGTAGAAATACGGACGTTATAGGAAATTGGAGAAAAGGAGATCCTCCAATTATAAAGTGGCAAAGAATTTGGCCAAACCATATTCAACTGTTCTGTGGAAACAGAAATTGTAAGTAAGGAACTCGGATACTGAGCTGAGGAGGTATCGAAGCAAAGTGTCAAAGGCAAAGACTAGTTTTTTGCCGCTTATAGTGAAACGTGAGATGAGAGAGATAAACTGAAGAAGGAATTGTTGTAGCAAAAAGGAACCATGACTTCAAGATTTGGAAAATTCTGTCTATCCATACGGCAAAAAATAAGAAAGCGTGCACTGGAGAGACACCAAGAGTGTGGCTGGCTCATCATTTGTTAAAGAGATTCTGGGTATGATTCACGGATCCAATCAACCATCTCAACAGAAGCCAGGAACAGAGATGAGGTTATCCAGGAAGGTCTATGGAGGACACCCTCGTCTGACGGCCTGCAACCCTGTGGACTGCATGGAGGGCAGGGTTTCTGAGTATTATATACCAGCAGAAACACTGCCAGCTGGAACTGAAAGGAAAAGAGATGGGATGAAATAAAAGAAGGCTAGGACTTCTGGGATTCTACAAACTGGCCGATAGATCTATCTGGCTATGAATATGTACTATCCTTCAAGAAAAGGGAAGAATGACTCCAAAGGTGGCTCAGAGGTTACAGGACTGCCACTGTCATCATGGGACCAGAGAGTACAGGCTCAGGAGGTGAAGTCATTTCCTTCTGAGTTCCAAAGAGCAGGGCCAGTAGCCTGCTGGGCCTGGAGAACAGAGAACTGAGCCAGAGGTTATTGCTGAGCCTTAAAATCCCATGGAAATGACCTGCTAGATTTTTTTTTTTTTTTTTTGAGATGGGGTTTCGCTCTTGCTGCCCAGGCTGGAGTGCAATGGCATGATCTTGGCTCACTGCAACCTCTGCCTCCTGGGTTCAAGCAATTCTCCTGCCTCAGCCTCCTGAGTAGCTGGGATTACAGGTGTGTGCCACCACGTCTGGCTAATTTTTGTATTTTTAGTAGAGAGAGGGTTTCCCCATTTTTGCCAGTGCAGTCTCGAACTACTGACCTCAGGTGATCCGCCTGCCTCGGCCTCCCAAAGTGCTGGGATTATAGGCACGAGCCACACCACACCTAGCCCTGACCTGCTAGATTTAAGACTTGCTTGGGACCCATTACCCTTTCTTCTCTTGGATTTCTCTATTTTGGAATGAGAATGGTCTATGCTATGCTTTTCTCACAGTTGTATTTTGGAAGCAAAAAACATCTGGTTTCACAGTTCATAGCTGGAGAGGGTTTTGCCTCAGGATGAATCATACTTCAAGTCTAACCCATACCTGATTTGAGATGTTGATATTTAGATGAGATTTTGGACTTACAGTTGATGCTGAAACAGGTTGAGAATTTGGGGGCTGTTGGGATGAGGTGAATGGATTGTGCATGTGGGAAAGACATGAATTTTGAAGGTCCTGAGGGTGAGGTCTTACAGGGGATGAATTGTGTTGTCCCAAAATTTCATGTTGAAGTCCTAACCCTAAGGACCTCAGAATGTGACTGTATTTGAAGATAGGCTCTTTCAAGATGTAATTAAGTGAACATGACGACATATGGGTGGGTGGGCTCCCACATATGGTGGGAGGCCGAGGCAGGAAAATTGCTGGAACACGGGAGGCAGAGGTTGCAGTAAGCCAAGATCGCGCCACTGTTCTCTAACCTGGGTGACAGAGCTAGACTCCGTCTGAAAAAAAAGAAAAGAGCTATTGGTCTAACTGCCAGTATATGCATTAAACCATTTAATCCTTAGCAATAACTGTACAAGGCAGCTTTAACTATTATTTCTGTTTTCCAAATAAAAAATGTAAGGCAGAAAAGTGAAATTGCCCAAGGTTTCAGGGGAATTGAGCCAGTGGAGATGGGACCAGGGCTCGTGGCCACATAGCTAGCAGGCAGCCAGGCTGCTGCAAGTGCTTGTTGCAGGCGGAGTGGCAAAGGCATGCAGCGTGCAGGTAACTCCATGACTATCGCCTCAGGAAGGATGCTCTGGCCAGGAATGAATGACTTCCTGCGAGCTGAGGGGATTAAGGGGAACAGCAGGGGAGACTAGGAAGCTGGATGTGAAAAACCAAAATGATAAAGGCATTATTAAAAACTGTAAAATATTCTTGTAAAGTTAGAATGGGGAAGCTTTCTCAAGCAAGGCATAAAACCAAAAAGATGACGAATAAGTGTACCTACAGTTAAAAACTGTAAGAAAACATTTAAGCCAGGCATGATGGCACACGCCTGTAGTCTCCCCAGCTATTTGGGAAGCCAAAGCAGAAAGGCTGCTTGAGCCCAAGACTTCAAGACCAGTCTAGGCAACATAAAGAGACCCCATCTTTAAAAAACAAAACAAAACAAAACAAAACATTTATATGCTGCAAGACACATAAACAAAGTTGAGGGAAATGGAAGAAACTATGTATGAATACAGCAGAGGCAAGGGATTCAGACCCAAAACTACAACGACACGTGGGTTCAGGTAAGAATCAGAGACTTGGATTTGGTATTTAGAAGAACCTATGAAAGATGGCAGTTTCTATGAATCCACAGAAAAAGCAAACCGTGGTTTGGTAATGTAGAGTAAAAGCCATGGGTCTGAAGCCTGACAGCCTGAGTTCAAATCTTTTTTTTTTTTTTTAAGATGGAGTCTTGCTCCGTGTCCCAGGCTGGAGCGCAGTGGCGTGATCTTGGCTCACTGCAACCTCTACCTCCTGAGTTCAAGCAATTCTCTCTGCCTCAGCCTCCCAAGCAGCTGGGATTATAGGTGCCCACCACCACGCCTGGTTAATTTTTATATTTTTTAGTGGAGATGGGGTTTCGCCATATTGGCCAGGCTGGTCTTGAACTCCTGACCTCAGCGATCTGCCTGCCTCAGCCTCTCAATGTGCTGGGATTACAGGCGTGAGCCACTGCACCTGGCCGTTTTTTTTTTCTTTTTCTTTTTTTTTTTGGAGACAGACTCTCGCTCTGTTGTCCAGACTGGAGTGCAGTGTCATGATTTCTGCAGCCTTGACCTCCCAGGTTCAAGCGATTCTCCTGCCTGAGCCTCCCCAGTAGCTGAGACTACAGGTGTCTGCCACTGTGCCTGGCTAATTTTTGTATTTTTAGTAGAGACAGGTTTCGCCATGTTGGCCAGGCTGGTCTTGAACTCCTAACCTCAGGCGATCTGCCCGCCTCGGCCTCCCAAAGTGCTGAGATTACAGGCATGAACCACTGCGCCCAGCCTGAGTTCAAATCTTCACTCCACCACCTACAGCTTGTGAGCACTGGACTCTGGGCAAGTGACTTCAGCTCTCGGGTGCCCCAGCTGCAATACAGAGACATCATGCCACCTATCTCAGAAGGTGCCATGAAGATACAATGCACAGAATCATGTCATCATGTAAATCACTGAATCCTGGTGCAATGTTTAGGACATAAAGAAAACAAGTATGAGTGCAAAAATAAATAAATAAGGATAAATGAATACTAACTAGGCAATTCATAGAACACAATAAACAAGAAAAGATATTCCACCTCAGTGGCGGATGTAGTAGCATTATTTGATTGGCACAAACTGAACATCTGGGAGTGTCCTGCGTGGGCATGGATATAGAGAAGCAGACCTTATCACCAGCTATCCGGCATCAGCTGGCGGGAAAAGCCTTTTAGGAAGGCAAGCTGGCAGGAGCTACCAAAATAAGTACA
Source organism: Homo sapiens (assembly GCF_000001405.40). Taxonomy (NCBI): domain Eukaryota; kingdom Metazoa; phylum Chordata; class Mammalia; order Primates; family Hominidae; genus Homo; species Homo sapiens. The sequence goes on from NC_000001.11 coordinate 247,307,263, forward strand.
GTGCCCACTCTTTGAAATATATCGTCTCTCCCCTTTCTCAGTAGCAACCCTTGGCTTCTGGCTGTTTCAGAGCAGTCTGTGTCAGAGTCCAGCAAGGGAAGAATGGAGTTGAAAACTCCTGTGTATAAATGAACATCCATCCATCTTCTAAAAGTATATTGATGGGGCTGAGAGACATGCTATGGGCAGAAAGAAGCTAGAGAAGATTCAAAGTGCACCACAAACATCAGGCCTGCGCTTGAACTCCAAGTGGACCCCAAATGAATGCATCACTCTTGGCACGCAGAGGTGGGCTTCTTAGAAAACCAGGGGTGGGCATCCATGCTTGTGGAGCAGGATCTCATCCTTTCAGATCTCCCACACTAGAAAAGCCCCTTTGTCCATGCATGAAAGGGGGCCAAGTACAAGATGCATGGAGCTGGGTCAAAATGGCATAAATCTTGCCTTCAAAAGCATCACAGGTAGAAGAGATAATATGTGTGAGTTGGTCTCCATAGCTGCAGAAAACTACAATGACACGTGGGTTCAGGTAAGAATCAGAGGCTTGGGTTTTGTATTGAGAAGAGAAAGATGGCAGTATTGTAGCCTCTGCTTCTGGAAGTGGTGACTTTTACCAAGACGACTCAGAGTCTACACTGTGGCTATTTCTCTGAAAGCAGGAATGGAACATACACTTTCCAAGAGTCCTGTGCAGCTTCAGTATGCCAGAAACCTGCTCTTTAATCCCAGTTCCAAGATTCTGTGCCAGGATGCTGGCCATCCATGCTGAGAGAAGAAAAACACTCACTGCATCACCAACAGCACTACAGCAGCACCCTGCTTTGACACACCCTCCCCGGCCCCTGGGAAAGGCAAGGAGGGTGAGCCTGGGATTGGGAGTGAGCTGGAGAATGACCCCAGCACAACGGAATCAGGGCAAGCAGCTAAGAACACCACAGCAGAGGTCGGCGGGGATCCTGAGGGGTTCAGTTCCTAACTGTCCCATGCCATCACCACCGCACATTTACATCACACACCCACATGCCCCCAACACACAGGTGCACCCATGAATGCACACACTCACACATGCAGCACACCACATATACCACATGTGTATGCACGCACACATGCATTCAACACAACCATCCCCTATGCCACACATGCATACATACATTCATGCGACACACCACAGACACACAGGGACAAACCCATACCTCCCTGACCCTTCTTTACCTGGGTAGGTGTTTTGAGGCACCACCGTCTGTGGGCAGGCCTGGAACTCTGGCACCTGCAGCTCCTCACGTTTCCTTCTTTCTTCTACCTGGAATGGCTGGAGACTTGGAGAGTCTTTCCAGAGGAGGAAATGGAAAAATTGATTTGTTTTGCACCTACAGCACTACCTGGGAGGGTGCTATCCGAATAGATGCCAGGCTACGATCTGGGGGCGGCCCTGGGCTCCGTCCTGGGGACTGGCAGGGGGTGGCCACTCAATAAGTGTCTGCTGAGTGAATGAACCTGAAGGCAAAATGGGCCAACTCCACAAACATGAGCTCTGACGCTAGACAGAATCGACGTAGATCCGGGTTCTACTCCACCCACTCTATGGCCAGAGACAAGCACTTCCCCCAGCCCCATATTTATTCCCACTTTCTGTGGTGGGTTTTCTATAGTCATCACCACAGGCTCCTGCACACTCCGCACATCCTGCACAAACAGCTTGTGCAGAGCCTACAGGGTAGAGATGGTACAGGAGCTACTGCACCACACCAAGTCTCTGAACGCTTGTTCCAGGTGGGGATGGTGTGTCAAAACCTTGTCTGCTTCATGCCAGCTCTAGGTCCCAAAGGGGAAGAAGGTGTGGAGCTGCTGATGATTCTGTACAAAGCTATTTCCTCCTGAAGGAGCAGATGCTTCGAAGCACCATGGCATGGAGATCATGGGTGCAAGTGCTGGCGACACAGCCTGAAGGAGGGCTGGAAACTGCTGCTGCTGAGCCCCAGCACCTCCCCACACCCCAGTGTCCTCACAGCACCCCTGTACCAGGCAGATGGGAAGACTAGACAGGTGAGGCACCTCAAAGGGCTGCGCTCGGTGCCCAGTTAGGAGACACTCCCTCTGCAACTAGGCTTGTCATGAGTATCTGACTTCACTCCTGGAGGGGCTGCTGCATTGTCAGCACAAACCAGATGTTACTTACAGGCAGAGGAGAAAGACATTCCTATTATTTCCCAGTCCTTGGCCAAGGGAGTACAATTCCAATGCCTGGCAAAATTAAGATCCTCCATTCTTTCTATGAAAAGTCAGGGACAAGGCAAGACATGCAAGACCCACATAGAGTCTGGGGAAATGAAGAAGGCAATTAGGGGCCGCAGAGAGAAGCCAGAGAGTGGGCTCACCTCCGGCTGCCAGCAACCCTTCCCCCTACTCTGTCCACTCAGTTCTGGAATCATTACTCACCCAAGTAGGAGACCTGGGGCACTTCTTTGCCCTGGAGATCCTGCAACTCTGGAACGCGTGGCTCATTCTCCTCTCCCTGGGAGAGATCTGGCTGGGCAGCTAGGTCGTCTGTTCAAAGAAAAAGGCAGGGTACATGTTTATTAGTAATCTGATCCTGCAGCAACCAGGGCTGGTCCAGAAGAGAGAAGGCGGAGGGATGCCCAGCGGGCATGGCACCATCAGGGGCGAGAAGTGAAAAGGCCAGAGCTGGCAGTGCAGGGGCAGTGGGGGCAGCACACGCAGGGAGAGCTATGGGCTTGGGGGTCTCTCTGAGGCTTTCGGGTGTAAAGCAGACATAAAGGGACAAAACGGTAAGAACGATGGAAGAGAAATGGACATACAGCACATGTTCTATTTGGTTCTGATAAGCCTGATGTGGCGAGACAGCAGGTGATGGTCAATCGGACACACTGCCTGTAGGGCCGCTGTGTGCAAATGACCTCCTGTCCAGGTTGGGGGTGAACAGAGAGATCTGATGCAGGCCCCGCTTCCCTGATCCTATGGGACGAAGTTGACTCTTACTCCAAGTGAGAACTCCCCTGCCCAGTTCCCTGGTCTTGAGGTGTGGGGGGAAGTTAAGTCTTACTTGGAGGCATTGAGACCCCGTAATCCTCCCCAATGATGAACTCTCCATAGAAGCCAGTCTGGGCAGGATCTAGAAGGGACCAATCCTCTTCAGAGAAGCATAAAATCATGTCCTTGAATGGAGAAACCCGACTCTGAAAGCACAGGAGAACAGGGATGCCTCAGTCCGGGACGAGCTAGGTGTCTCAGTCTTAGTCCACTGAGGCTGTGACAACACAACGCTGTAGGACGGGCAGTTTCTATACAACAGAAATCTGTTCCTCACAGTTCTGGAGGCTGGACGTCCAAGATCAAGGTGCCAGCAGGCTGGGTGCCTGGTGAGGGCCCACTTCTTGGTCAAAAGACAGGTGTCTTCTGTGTCCTTACATGATGGAGAGGGCAAGGGAGTTCTCTGGGGCCTCTTTTAGGAGGGACTAATCCCACTCATGAGGACTTTGCCCTTGTTACCAGATCATCTCCCCAAAAGTCTCCACTTCCTAATACCATCATCTTGGGGATTACAATTTCAACACAAATTTTGGGGAGATATAAACACTGAAACCATAGCATTCTGCCCCTGGTTCCCCCAAATTCATATCCTTTTCACATGCCAAACAAATTCATTCTATCCCAATAACCCTCAAAGTCTTAATTCATTCCAGCATCAACTCAAAAGTCCGGAGTCCAACATCTCATTTAAATATCATCTAAATCAGTTACGGTTGAAACTCAAGGCACAATTCTACCTGACACAAAATTCTCTCCAGCTGTGAACCTGTGAAATGAAACAAGTTATGTGCCTTCCAAATAGTGGTGAGGCCGGCGCAGTGGCTCACACCTGTAATCCCAGCACCTTGGGAGGCCGAGGCAGGCAGATTACCTGAGGTCAGGAGTTTGAGACCAGCCTGGCCAATACGGTTAAACCTCATCTCTACCAAAAATACAAAAAGCAGCCAGGCGTGGTGGTGAGCACCTATAATCCCAGCTACTTGGGAGGCTGAGGCAGGAGAATCATTTGAACCCGGCAGGCGGAGTCTGCAGTGAGCTGAGATCATGCCACTGCACTCCACCCTGGGCAACAGGGTGAGACTCAGTCTTAAAAAAAAAAAAACAAAACACACACACAGAGACACACACACACACACACACACACACACACACATATATAGTGGTGAGACGGGCACAGGATAAACATTCCAGTTCCAAAAAAGGGAAACAGAAAAAAAGAAAAGGAGTAACAGGTCCCCAGCAAGTCCTGAACCTATGGGTCACAGCACATTATGGTTTACGGCTTGAGAATAATCTGCAGAATAATCCTTTTTGTCTTGATGCTGTGCTCCCCAGGCCCACTGTGTTGGGAGGTGACCCCGCCTTCCAAACCCACAGGTGGCAGCTTCACTGGGCAGGAGTTGAGTCCCCAAGGCCCTGGGTGGTCCCGCCCCATGGCAGCCCCTGGTGAGGGCCTGCCCTTGAGGTGGTTCTCTGCAGTGGCCCCACCTCTGTGGCAGCTCTGTCTCTTTCAGAAGCCCAAGGCTCTCTTGGGCTGGAACTTCGCTGATGGCCCCACCATCTAGGGCTTCAGGGGTGACTGAAGCGGGGCTCTCTGCTGTGGTCCCCTGCTTGCTGCGGGTCTTGCGCTCTGGGCCTGTGATGGGCAGAAGAGCCCTGATGATTTCTGAATTGCCTTTGGGGTCATTTTTCCATTTTCTTGGACTAGCTCCTAGCCTCAGTTTCAATGGCAAAACCTTTATCTTCTCTCCTAAACAGGCTGGCTCACTCTTACCAACATAGGCTGACAAATATTCCCGATCTTTAAGTTCTGCTTCCCTTTTAAGTAACAATCCCATCTTTAAATCACTTCTCTCTTTTCACATTTCACAAGCTGCACCTTCAAAACCTTGCTTAGATATTTCTGCAGCCAAATATCCAATTGCAGTGGCCCGTAAGTTCTACCTTCCACAAAACACTAATACATAAGCACAGTTCAGCCAAGTGATTTGCCACTATAAGAAGGATGGCCTTTCCTCCATTGCCCACCACACGTTTCTCATTTCCATCTGGGACCTCATAAGAATAGCTTTACTGTTCACATTTTTACCAACATTCTGGTTGAGGATTTCAAATCTCCTCTTTTCTTTTGGAGCCTCACTAGAAATCACCCGTAATAGTCTGTTCATGGGCTGGGCACGGTGGCTCACACTTGTAATCCCAGCACTCTGGGAGGCTGAGGCTGGCAGATCACCTGAGGTCAGGAGTTCCAGACCAGCCTAGCTAGCCAAAATAGCAAAACCCTGTCTCTACTAAAAATACAAAAATTAGCCAGGTGTGGTGGTGCACATCTGTAATCTCCGCTACTCAGGAGGCTGAGGTTGCAGTGAGCAGAGATCGCACCACTGCACTCCTGCCTGGGTGACAGAGCAGGACTCCATCTCAAAAAAAAAAAAAAAAGAAAAAGAAAAAGAAAAAATTGTCTGTTCATGGCAACACAGGCTTTTTCTAGCCTGCACTTCAAAACTCTTCTAGCCTCTACCCATTACCCGGTTCCCAAGCTTCTTCCACGTTGTATTTGTTAGAGTAGCACCCAAAATGTTCGGTGCCAATTTTCTGTCTTAATCCATTTGGGCTGCTCTAACAAAATACCGCAGACTGGGGACTCATAAACAACATAAATGTATGTCTTACAGTTCTGGAGGCTAGGAAGTCCCCAGCTGATACCAGCATAGTTGGGTTCTGGTGAGGGCCCAGTTCCTTGCTCCATAGATGGTCATCATTTCATTGTGTTCTCACATGGTGGAAGGGGCAAGGCTGCTCTCTGAGGCCTCTTTTAGAAGGGCACTAATCCATTTATGATGGATTTGCCCTTATAACCTGATCATCTCCCCAGTGCCCCACCTCTTAATGCCAGCAGCTTGGGGGCTAGCATTTCAACATGTCAAAGCTGTGGGGAGGGGAACACAAAAACATTCAGACCATAGCACTAGGGGAGGGGGGTGGTGTGGAAGCTGGGGCTGAGGGAAGAGCCCAAAGCAACACATGCAGATAGAAGAGACAGAAAGGAGACCGACTACCCCAGGTCCAGGCGCCAGTGGACACACTGCTTTGTTATTTCTGCTCTTGGATCCACCTCATCCCTATCTTGTTTGGCAAAATCCACATGGCAGCTACCTGGCTGGGTGGCCAAGGATGTGGAGAAACAGGTCTTCCTCCTCAGTGCTGGGGAGGCTGCACATCCACCACTCCTATGGTGCGCTGCTGGGCAATGTCCAGAGGTCACCAGCGTGCTCGCCCCTCAATGCAGAGATTCCTAAAGTTTATGTTGTTGCACGTTACCAACATGCCCACCCTTCCGTGCAGGGATTTCTCAAGTTTATGTTGCACATGTGCAACGTAGTCTACAAAAGCTGCTTCACTGAAGCATTGATCTAATAAATACTGAAAACCTTGACACACATCAAGAAGACAGCGGATTAAGTAAGCTACAGAAACCTCACAAGGGATGATCCTACACGCACAGAAAGAATGACGGCCTCTCTGTACTGAGAAGGAATTCTCTTCAAAGTGTGTTGTTGCAGGAAAACACCTGTGCATGATGGAATCCGGATGGCCACCAAGTGCAGGGCGTCTAGGAGTTCCGAAGGTTAGCTGCTTCTCAAGAGGTTCCTGGGACTCTGGGGTTAGGTGTAACAGGGAGATTTTTTTCATAAACTTTGAATCATGGACCATGGGAATGTGTCAAAAACCTGATTTTAATTTCTATTTTTATCTTTATATTGTTTTAGACAGGGTCTCACTCTGTCACCCCGGCTGGAGTGCAGTGGCACAACCACAGCTCACTGCAGCCTCAACCTTTGGGGCTCAAGCAATCCTCCTGCTCAGCCTCCCAAGTAGCTGGGACTACAGGAGTGAGCCACCACGCCTGGCTAATTTTTTATTTTTGTAAAGATGAGGTCTTGCTATGTTACTCAAGCTGGTCTCAAATGCTTGGGCTCAAGCAGTTCTCCCACCTCAGCCTCCCATAGGGCTGGGATTACCAGTATGAGCCATGGTGCCTGGCCTAATTTTCATTACTTAATCCACTGTCTTGTTGATGTGTGTCAAGGTTTTCAGTATTTATTAGATCAATGCTTCATTTTAAAATTTTCATTTTAAAATTTCAATTTAAAATGATGGTATATCCATATAATACTAGGAAACCAGGAAAATAAAGCAGTCCTTTATATAATTGGAAAGGACCACAAAATAAAATTTTTGTGGAAAAAAGAAAAGTAACTCAAAGGACTTTTATATTACTAGTATCTATGTGACAAGCAAAAAAGGAACAGAATAATTTTTAAAACATGCTTTGCATCTGCCTACCTCTCTGGAAAACTATCAGTTACTGTCAGATGGTTTCCCCGGGTGTTGGGGCCAGGCACCCAGGACACGGCTGGGAAGGAGTGATTTTCTTTCTTTCTCTTTTTTTTGAGATCGGTTTTTGCTCTGTCGCCCAGGCTGAAGTTCAGTGGTGCAATCTTGGCTCACGGCAACCGCTGCTTCCCAGGTTCAAATGATTTTTGGGCCTCAGCCCCCTAAGTAGCTGGGACTCTAGGCATTCACTACCATGACCAGCTACTTTTTTTTTGGTATTTTTAGTAGAGATGGAGTTTCACCATGTTGCCAGGCCGGTCTTGAGCTCCTGAGCTCAAGTGATTCAACCACCTTGGCCTCCCAAAGTGGTAGGATTATGGGTGTGAGCCACCAAGCCCAGCCTTGACTAGTCTTTTTTTTTTTTTTTTTTTTTTAAAAAAAGCAAAAATATAGAGGGCAGAGGGCACTTAAAGGAATCATGTTGGTGAAAAGTAAAAGATGTTAATATAAAAAAAAAACACCTATGGAATAATTATGCGTCAATTGTACATATGTATCCCAGTGATCACAGCTGACGTGACCCATGCAGGACACCCCACCTTCAATGCCTCCAGATGTGCTGCATGGGGAGTGCACAGCCCAGTGTGGTTCTCCTGCAAAATGCGTGGCCTGAGTGCCACTGTGAGTCTAACCCCACCTGAGGGAAGGAAGCTGTATCACCTATCACGATATTCCACTCTTCAAAACTAGCCACAGCATGACAAACATTGAGAACCCAAGGAGGAAGTGTTAAGAGATGGGACAACTAAATAAGAAGCAACGATGCTGGATCATTATTGTTTTAATGTGAAATTTCCTCAATGTGATAACTGTATTGTGGTTAAGAGATTGTCCTTGTGTTTAGGAAATACGCTCCTTTGGCATGAATAAGGGGGCACAAACGTCTGCATCTAACTGAAGATTTGGGGAAAAATAGAATGAGGGGGTGGGAGTGGGTAAGGAAGAGAGAGGGAGAACGGGGAAAGTGAAGGAAAGGGTATTTGGAAGTCTCTGTACTGTTCTTGCCATCTTCCCTAACTTTAAAATTAATTCCAAAGAAAAAGTTTAAAATAAAAAGAAAGAGAATACCTCAAAAATTCTAAATTTGAGTCAGGGTTTTGGAACAAGGACTCTTGCCTGTACATATGAATCACAGGCATCTTAGTAAAAACTCTGACTCAGTAGGTCGGGGTGGAGCCTCAGAGGCTGTATCTGAATGAGCCCCTAAGTGGATCTGCTGCTCGGAAGAGGTCAGTGTGGAAAAGCCTGTCTTCCCAGGCTGTTCCACAGAATCCAAAACAGGCCTCGGGAAGCCACTGGATTTCATTACAAGGACCTGTGGGAGTCAACTTGATGTTGGTTTCTTAAATGGGGAAAAAATGGTAATTGCCCCAGTGACAAAAAATACAAAAGAATTCATCACTCTGACACGACTTCCTGGGAGAGGGGTGTGTGTGTGTGTGTGTGTGTGTGTGTGTGTGTGTGCACGACTTCCTGGGAGGGGTGTGTGTGTGTGCGCGCGCGTGCGCGTGTGTGTGTGTGTGTGTGTGAGCGCGCGCAGTGGGGGTCCCGAGGGAAAAACTGAGAGTATATATTAACAACAGATTTGGATGCTTTTTCCTTTGAGCCTTGGTTAGGTGTTTGAGGATCTACTTGCTATACTTTGAATGTGGCCCTCAAATTTCAGGTGCTGGAAACTTGATCCCCCATGTGGCAGTATTGAAAGGTGTGGCCTTTACGAGGTGATGAATAGGTTGTCATGGGAGTGGAACTGGTGGCTTTGTAAGCAGAGGAAGAGAGACCGGAGCAAGCGCGTCAGGACACTCAGCCCCTCGCCATGTGACGCCCTGCACCCACCTCGGGACACCACAGAGCCCCCACCAGCACGAACGCTCTCACCAGATGGAGCCCCTCAACCCGAATCTTCTCAGCCTCCATAAATATGAGAAGTCAATTATTTTTTTTATAAATTACAGTTTCAGGTATTCTGTTACAAGTGACAGAAAACTGACTAGACAGTCAAGGCATCACAGAAGCAAACCCAAGTCCAAGGGCCAGGTGGGTGGACAGACAGTGCTCCAGTCACCTCCAGAATCTGACACGGCCACTTAGCAGGATCCCCAGGGAGCTTTTAGAACCATATGGACCAATGCTTACATGCTGGGGAGGAGCATAAAAACAGGACATTGATCTACAGCGGGATCCTTTTATTTGTGATCGATTTATTTGTGAGGCACACAAATAAATTGGCAGAGAAAAGTCCAGAAGGAAGTTCACTAGACCATGCAGAATCTTCTCACATGACTGGGGATGAGTGGTATCTTTTCACTTCCTACATTTTGTTAATTTTTCACGAGAAGGGATGGGCAAGATAGATAAACATGTCTATTTAAGATTAAATCTTCAGAGGAGATTTTTCTAATGCTTCCCAACTAAGTAGAATGAAAACCCTGGACATTGCATATAAAATGAGCACAGGAGACTCTGAAAGGTGGAGAGAGGGTGGCAGAATGGCCAGGGACCTTGGAACAGTATGTGCTAAGTTCACTGGTTTTTCTTTCTACCACATATTCCCCTGACTTGAAGCCGAAGGAGCCAGCTACCAAGAAATACCCATGGGCACAGACCAAAAAAAGCTCCAACAAAAGCCACAGGACCTGGACAGGGGCAGCCCAGCCAAACAGGTAATAACTGCTCTACTCCACTTAATACCACATAAGAAAACTGTGGCCCCTTCTTACCAACACCAGCAGAGAATGACTGGGGAGCCTAGACTTCCACCCTCACCAGGTGCAATGAGGTGCCCTAACACCCCTGCTGGGGTGGTCTCAGAGAAGGCCAAATGCGGAGCTGGGACCTCCATCCCTGCTAGCTAAGAACAAGCCCCCCCCCCGCCACCAGTGGAGACCATGTAGGGAGCTGGAACTCCACTCCCACTCGGGTGTATGAGGAGCATCCCCACTTTGATGCCCGCGGAGATCCAGGAGGAAACCTGACGTTCTCTCACCAGGTAATAACAAGTGGTGGCCCACCTGCCCTTCTCTTGCTGGAGCTATGTCAAAAACAACACTGCACAACCAAACAAAACCAGCCACACCGAAGTTAAGGTCCAGAGTCTCATCATATAAAAATATGCAGGCAGAAAATCACTCACTATACCAAGATCTGAAACTGAATGAATAAAGATAACCACCAACAGATGCCAACCCTCAGGTGACAGATACGTTAGAACTATCTGACAAAGAAGCTGTCATAAAATGCTTCAATGAACAATTATAAGCACACTCCAAACAAACGAAAAAATAGAAAGTGTCTGTAAAGACACAGAAAGTCTCAGCAAAGAAACTGAAGATACAGAAAATAACTAACTGGAAATGTGAACAGTACAAACCACAATATGAAATAAGAAGCTCAGTGAATAGGCTCAGCTGAGGAGGGGACAGAAGAAAGACTCAGTCAACTTGAAGACGGAAAAATAAAGTTATTCCATCTGAACAACAGAGAGAATACAGGCTGAAAAAAAATGAACAGTCTCAGGTACCTTTATAAATTACACAGTTTCTAACAAGAGATCTAAAACCTGTATCCTTAGCAGTCTGGAGAGGAGAAAGAGAGAGGGACTAAAAAAGTACTAGAAAAATCTAGCTTAAGAATTCCCAAGCTTGGAAAGAGACATAAACCTAGAAATGTAAGAAGCTGAGCAAACTCTAAACAGGTTAATCTAAAGAAATCCATAACAAGACACAGCATAATTTAACTTCTGAAAACTGAAGGCAAAGGAAGAAAAAAATCTTAAAGGTAGCCAGAGTAAAATAATACCTTCCTTACAGGGAAAAAGTTTTTGAATGACAGCAGATTTCTCATCAAAAGCCATGGAGGCCAGAAGGAAGTAACATAATATTTTTCAAGTGCTGAAAGAAAACTGTCAAGTGTGAATCTTTCATCTGGTGAAAACATCCTTCAGGAATGATGGGGAAATGAAGACCTACTAAGATGAGGAAAAAATATGTAAGTCTATCACCAGCAGATCTATCTTAAAAGAATGGCTAAAGAAACACTCTAAACAAAAAGCAGGAACCTTGGAACATAAGAAGAAAGAAAACAGTAAGCCACAATATGGGTAATAAATAGGTTTTCTTTTTCCTTTTGAGTTTTCTGAATAATGTTTGACAGTTGAAGCACAAATTACAACACTCTATGATGCGGTTCTAAATGTATGTAGAGGAAATATTTAAACAACTGCATTATAATGGGGAAGAAGGATGAGGGTATGTAAAAGGAGGTATATTATATTTCTTTCTTTTTCTTTTCTGATGGGGTCTCACTCTGTCACCCAGGCTGGAGTGCAGTGATGCAATCACAGCTTACTATGCAGCCTCAACCCCCTGGGCTCAGGCAATCCTTCTGCCTCAGCTTCCCAAGTAGCTGGCACTATAGGAGCACACCACCATTCCCAGCTAATTTTTTTAGAATTATTATTTGTAGAGACAAGGTTTCGCTATGTTGCCCAGGCTGGTCTCAAACTCCTGGGCTCAAGCAATCCTCCCACCTTGGCCTCTCAAAGTGCTGGGATTATAGGCACAAGCCACGGTGCCCGAACAAAGGAAATAAGCTTCTACACTTCACTCAAACTGATAAAATGATACTCAGTAGATAAGTTATGTATATATAATGTAATACTTAGAATAACCACTAAAAAAGCTATACAAAAATATACATACACTCAACACCACACTAGGTAAATCGAAATGGAATTCTACATGTTCAAGTAACACACAGAAAAATAGGAAAAAGGAAACAGAGAAACAGAAACAGAGCCAGAAAAACAGAAAGACAAACTTAAGCCCTAACATGTCGGTAATGACATTAAATACAAATGGTCTACATACATCAATCAAAACACAGTAACTGGCAGAGTAGATTAGAAAACATTATCCAAATATATACTATCTAGGCCGGGTGCAGTGGCTCACACCGGTAATCCCAGCACTTTTGGAGGACGAAGCAGGTGGATCACGTGAGGTCAGAAGTTCAAGACCAGCCTGGCCAACATGGTGAAACCCTGTCTCTACTAAAAATACAAAAATGAGCCGGGCCTGGTGGTGCGCGCCTGTAGTCTCAGCTACTCGGGAAGCTGAGGCAAGAGAACTGCTTGAACCCAGGAGATGGGGGCTCCAGTGAGCTGAGATCGCGCCACTGCACTCCAGCCTGGGTGACAGAGTGAGACTCCGCCTCAAACAAAATAAAACAACACATATATACTATCTAAAAGTAACTTACTTCAGATATAATAATATAAGCAGGTTGACTGTAAAAGGATGGAATAAATATATTATGCAATTATTAATCAAAAGAAAGAAGAAAAGCTATATTAACATCAGATAAGAGTACTTTCTTACAAAACTTACCAACTTTTGTACTTACCAACGATTGCATACCTGGGCATTTATCCCAGAGAAATGAAGACTGATGTGTATATAAAAACCTGCACACAAATATTTACAGCAGCTTTATACAATAATGACCCCAAAACAACCCGGATAGTCCTCAACCAGTGAATGGTTAAACGAACTGTTGGACTTCCATGTGATGGAATACTACTCAGCAACGAAAAGCAATGGAATAGTAACACGCAACAACCTGAATGAAGCTCCATAGAATTACGCTGAATGAAAACAGCCAATCCCCAAAGGTTACATATTATATGAATCCATTTATATAACATTCTTGAAATGAAATGACATCACAGAGCTGAAAAACAGATCAGTGGTTGCCAGAGGCTGAAGAGAGGGTGAGGGTAGGAAAGAAATGAGTGTGGACATTAGGTAACAGGAGGTATCCTTCTGGTGAAGCACCTGTTCTCTATCTTGCATGTATCATTGTCAATACCCTGGGTGTGACATTGTACTATATTTATAGAATATAGATTTTTACTCTATATTTTACTATTGAGGGTTTAAAAAGTTCACAGGATCTCTCTGTGTTATTTCTTACAATGGCATGTGAATCTACAATTACGTAAAAATGAGAAGATTCATTTAAAAAGAAAAACAAAACTTCACGTGTACCATGTTCATAGCAGCATTATTCACAAAAGCCAAAATGTGGAAGCAATGTAAATGTCCATCGACAGATGAATGGATAAACAAGGTGATATATACACACATGGGAGTATTATTCAACCTTAAAAAGGAAGGGAATTCATGGCCAGGCATGGTGGCTCACGCCTGTAATCCCAGCACTTTGGGAGGCCGAGGCAGGTGGATCACGAGGTCAAGAGTTCGAGTTCAAGAGCCTGACTAACATGGTGAAACCCCGTCTCTACTAAGAATACAAAAATTAGCCAAGCGTGGTTGCGGGTGCCTGTAATCCCAGCTACTCGGGAGGCTGAGGCAGGAGAATTGCTTGAACCCGGGATGCGGAGGTTGCGATGAGCCGAGATCGAGCCACTACACTTCAGCCTGGGCGACAGAGCAAGACTCCATCTCGGGGGAAAAAAAAACACGGAAGGGAATTCCGACACATACTGCAACATAGATGAACCTTGAGGACATTATGCTGAATGAAATAAGCCAGTCACAAAAAGGCAAATAGTGCATAATTCCAATTATATGAGGTATTTATAGTCAAATTAATAGGGACTAAAAGTAGCATGGAGGTTGCCAGGGGCTAAGGGAAAGGGTAAATGAGGAGTTATTATTTAACGTATAGAGAATTTCAGTTTGGGAAGATGAAAAAGTTCTACAGATTGGGTGTACAACAATGTAAATATACTTAACACCACTGAACCGCACACTTAAAGACAGTTAAGATGGAAAATTTTACGCTATGTGTATATTACCACAATTAAAAACAGAAATTAAAAAACACTTATAAACAACATCTTCATGATGGTGACTTTTAGTGCACTGGGAAGAAACTATCACTGGGAAGAAACTATCAGAGTAATACAACAGTACTGACTTATCAAAATCTCTGTACTGTGCTCGCTATGGCATTTACTAGGGACTGCAGGAATTGAAAGATGAAGACCAAACCTCATTAGGTACTGGATTAACAGCATCCCCTTATGTGTTATACTGGTTAAATGTCCAAATTTTAATAAGAAATACTGGTTTTACCTCCTTTGTGTTTGGAAATGGTCACAGTACACAGCAGATGCTGACATGTATGTGTTGAGCATCAGGGTAAACAGGCGTGTGCCACATTTCTGGTGGGGCAAAAGCAAGTTATGGAGATGCCCCCTAACTGGGTAACCTGGCTAACTCCTTCCCATCCCTAGCCCTCCCTTCTCCAAGTTTAAAGTCATGTTGGCTGGGCACAGTGGCTCATGCCTGTAATCCCAGCACTTTGGGAGGCTGAGACAGGAGGATCACTTGAGGTCAGGAGTTTGAGACCAGCCTGGGCAACATGGCGAGACCCTGTCTCTACAAGGAAATACAAAACTTAGCTGGGTGTAGTGGCATGCACCTGTAGTCCCAGCTGCTCAGGAGACCGAGGTGGGAGGATGGCTTGAGCTCAGGAGTTTGAGGCTGCAGTGAACTACGACTGTGCCACTGCATTGAAGCCTGGGTGACAAGGCAAGACCCTGTCTCTAAAAATAAAAATAAAATAAAGTCATGTCAAATGAACTGTGCAGAAAGCAAACTGCTCAGCTTCCGACATTCTGCTGAGACATGGTAATAAGAGTGTCTACTGTTTTTCACAGTTTTCTGTTGGGTAAGGAGCAACTAAACAAAAGCAGGAGCCACACATCCTGTTCCCATGGGAGGGGATGATGCTGTCATAACTAAATCTTGTGCCAGCCAGTGGAAAGTGTTAGGAGGGAAAGTGAAGGAGATATGGCCAGAAAACATGGCCAAAGACAGCAACTGGGCTAGAGAGAGGCGAGTAAGATCACCTGCTGGACCAGCCCCCAGCCCTGACTCTGACTCCTCAGAGCACCCGAGTAAGCAAGTCTTACACAAAAACACGAACGAGAACATTCGAGGAAATTCTGGAATGACTCACCACGTAGATCTGTGACAGGACTGAAATTATCTGTGCTTTCTTCCCTCCACTTCCTAACATTTCTAAAATATAACCATTGCTGCGATGATTATTAAATTGAAAAATTCTCTGTAAAATAAAAGAGCAGAGAGATCTCCTTTTTCACAAGAGGGGAACTTAGACATGCTGAGAGGCCCATCAATGGGGACTCATGGGCCTTTGTTTCCTGCTATCGTCTGCACAAAGCTTCCTGAAGGTGGCCTGATGACAGTAGACCCAGTGGGCGGCTGGGACCACAGGGAAGGAGGAGAAATGGGGCGTCTCTTAAGCTCACGCTCTGCCTATTTTAGCTTTTCTGGGCTGGGACTGAACATCCTGTGTGGCAGTCAGAAAGCTGGCTGGGGTCCTAAGAAAGCTGCCCTGTAGCCTACAGAGGCAAACAGGGGATTTTCAAGGACTCCTGTAGAAACCACTCACCGGGGGTAGCTGGAGGGTGGTCACCTGCTGTGTGTCCCGCACATTCTCTTCCTGAAGAAGGAAAGCATCTTGCAGAACTGAAAGAGATCAGAAAATGGTGTCCTAAAGTGGGCCAGGGCCAGGCCTGGTGCTGATACCTTCTGAGCTTCCTGCGGCTCTTCATTTCCATTTTGGTAGCAAAGAAAATCACAAGAGAGGCACCAACAGGGAACTGTTTCATGGTGCTTTTCATAAAACCCCAGTCTCTGTTCTTAACTGTAAAATGAGGATTACAAAATGACGCACATGAAAAGTACTCTGTAAACCACAAAGATTGCTGCGACTTTGTTTCCAGATATAACAAGGGGGGCTGTAACAGAGTGTGCCTGGGTTCATGATAGCACGGTCAATTAAATGAACTCTTTCACCTCGGGTAGGTCCCCGGACCTCAGCATTGTTATCCAAACTATGGGAAAATAAAGGTTAAAACTCTATGGAGTTCAGCCGTGTGTGGTGGTACATGCCTGTAATCTCAGCTATTCTTATTTTGGGGACTGAGGTGGGAGAATCACTTGAGCCCAGGAGTTCCAGACCAGCAGGGACAACACAGAGTATTTGTTTCTTAAAAAGAAAAAGAAAAAAAAAAAGAAGAAGAAAAAGAAAAAGCCGTAGAGTTGAGGAATCTATAAGGACTCTTAGGGTCTGGATGTGGTGGCTCATGCCTGTAATCCTAGCTCTTTGGGAAGCCAAAGTGGGAGGATTGCTTAAGCTCAGGAGTTCAAGACCAGTCTGGGCAACATAGGGAGACCGCATCTCTATTAAAAATAAAAAAACTGGGAAGCTGAAACAGAAGGATTGCTTGAGCCTGAGAGATGGAGGCTGCAGTGAGCCACAGCTGCACCACTGCACTCCAGCCTGGGTGACAGAACATGGCTCTGTCTCAAATGAAAAAAAAAAAAAAAAAAAGTAAGGGCTGTTGGCAATCAGAATTACTGTGGAACTCCATAAAAAAAGAAGGAAAATCCTGTCATTTTTGACGACATGAATGAACCTGAAAGACATGCTACGAGCAATAAGCCAGACACAAAAAGAAATACTGCATGTTCTCACTTAAATGTGGACTCTAAAAAAGTTGAACTCATAGAAGCAGAGATCAGAATGCTGGTTACCAGAGGCTAGGGAATGAGGGGACTGGGGAGACATTGGTCAAAGTGTACAAAATTTCAGTGACATGAGAGGAGTAAACTCAGGAGTCCTATTGCACAACATGGTGACTATAGGCAGTAACAACGTACTGTGTACTTGAAAATTGCTAAGAGGGTAGATCTGAAGTATTTTCACCACACACAGAAAAAGGATAGGTATATGAGGTAATGCATTATATTAATTAGCTTGACTTTTTTTTTTTTTAAGAGACTGGTCTCACTAGGTTGCCTAGGCTGGAACAGAACTCCTGAGCTCAAGGGATCCTCCCACCTCAGCCTCCTGAGTAGCTGGGACTACAGGTGTGCCACCATGCCCAGCTAAGTAGCTTGGTTTAATCATTTCACAATGTGTATAGATATCAAAACATTACACTGTACACTGTAAATACATACAATTTTTTTTTGTCAATTTGAAGACAGAAATTAAACAAAAAAGAAAAACTGTTACCACTGTAGGTACTCCTGAAAGAGCATTTGACACAGTGTCCTAAAGACCCTCATACAAAATGTAAAGTGTGGCTTTGGGACCATCTCACCAGCCTTATTTTGGGCTACCAGGGACTCTGCCACTCTTCTCTCCTGGAATTGGAAACTACCCTTTGTTCAGGCTTCTGCCATGAGCCACATCCCCTGCCAACAGTGCAGCCATGTAAAAATGAGCTCTGTTTCAAAAGGTACTCCTTTCTCAGATTAAGACTTGGAGAGCTGTGCTATAGTCTACTGGTTAACCCCAGGTCACATGTTAAGTCATTATCAAAGCAAACCCCAGAGGCCAGTGTCCCTGGCCTTTCAGACCTGGAATACAAAGCCTGCAGGAAACAGCAGCTGCAGGAGTGGCTATGTGGAACAAAGGACGGGGCCAGGAGCCCACACAGATGGCAGTGCCATTCTAGGGGTCTCAGTGGAAGGCAGCCTCTTCACTGTGTCTGAAGGGGAAGCTCAGGCTGGATGGGCGTAGATTTGAGGAGGTGGTATTTTTCTGTGTGTATGTTCCATTTTAAGTTTCTATCTTCATCTTTATTTAACTTACTTTTACCTCCCAGTTTTATTAAGCTATAATTGACAAAAATTGTATGTATTTTGTATACGAAAACTGTACAATGTGATAACTATACATTGTGAAATGATTAAATTAAGCTAATTAACAAATCTATACCTCATATATTTTTGTGACGAGAACATTTCTTATTTACTTTCTTAGCAATTTTCAAGTATAAGATGCATTATTTTTCATCAACCTCACCATGCTGTACCATAGATCTCCAGAATTTATTCATCTTACCTAACGGAAACTTTGTACTCTTTGACCGATGTCTCCCAGAGGGGGTGTTTTATTTTTTAGAGGTGGGTTCTCGCTATGTTGCCCAGGCTGGTCTCAAACTCCTGGCCTCAAGCAATCCTCCTGCTTCAGCCCCCTGAGTAGCTGGAACTATAGGCATGAGCCACCATGCCTGGCTAGGAGGTGGTGTTTTAGTTCTGCTTCCTCACACCTGCCACCTTCTGGGATATGTAGCTATCCCAGATATTCATATATATATGAATGGAGATGCCCCCTAACTGGGTAACCTGGCTAACTCCTTCCCATCCCTAGCCCTCCCTTCTCCAAGTTTAAAATCATGTTGGCCGGGCACAGTGGCTCACGCCTGTAATCCCAACACTTTGGGAGGCTGAGACATATGTATATATATATATACACACGCATATATATATATACACACACACACACATATATACACACACACACACATATATACACACACATATATATACACACACATATATATACATACATATATATATATACACACATATATATATATATATATGAATATGTAGTCCCACCCTACTTTTGGCCCCGATAAATGAATACATGGACCCTTTCAAGAATCACTTCGGAGAGTTGCAGACCCTACACAAAATCTAGCTTTTGGGGAAGATCTTCAAGATGAGGAACTATACAGCTCTGATAGGTAGTGCATTCCAATGATGAACTGTCCCAATAGTTAAGGTTTTCCTGATTGCTAACTCTCATCATACCTACTTTGCCTATTGATTATTGCTCATGGAAATGGGAGAGCTGGCCCTGTTTTCCTAAAGCCCATCTGTGGTTGCTGGCTTATCTCAGAACTTTATCAAGAAGCAACTGCACAGGCTACTGTAGTTCCTGAAACTTCTTCCTCTCCACCTGCATGCCTTCCCAGACCCCACTACAAGGCCTCTCACAGCCCCCCACTTCCTGCATAACCCAAGCTACTTGCACGTGCATTATGTGGGCGACTGGCTGCTTCCCTTATACCTGTTGTTACAGGCTAAGTTATGGCCCTCTCAAATTCCTATGTTGAAGCCCTAACCCTTAGGTACCTCAGAATGCGACTGAGTATTTGGAGATAGGGTCTTTAAAGAGGTCATTAAGATAAAATCAGGTCATATGGGTGGGCCCTAATCCAATAGGACTGGTGTACTTATAAGAAGAGGAGATTAAGACACAGACACACACAAAGGAAAGACCACATAAAGAGACCCAGAGAGAGAAGGTGTCTGTTACACCTGCTCTGCAAACTTCTCTTAGTGTAAACATCTTCCTCTTCCTTTCCCTGAAAGAAAACCGCCCGTCATCAAGAGTCCTGGCACAAAGCTTGTTGTCAGCTTTCAGGGCCGGATATTCATGGGTTTTTACGGGTCCCAAAGAGAGCCAGTGGCATAAGAGACTTCCCCTCCTAGCTCCTTTTTTTTTGTTTTGTTTTGAGATGGAGTTTTACTGTTTTTACCCAGGCTGGAATGCAATGGCGTGATCTCAGCTCACTGCAATCTCCGCCTCCCAGGTTCAAGTGATTCTCCTGCCTCAGCCTCCCGAAAAGCTGGAATTATAGGCACCCACCACCACACACAACTAATTTTGTATTTTTAGTAGCGATGGGGTTTCACCATCTTGGCCAGGCTGGTCTCGAACTCCTGACCTCAGGTGATCCGCCCGCCTTGGCCTCCCAAAGTGCTGGGATTACAGGCGTGAGCCACCGCGCCCAACCCCTAGCTCCTTCTAAATGTCTATCTGCAAACTTCTCTTAGTGTTAACATTAGGCATGTCTACAAGCCAAGGAGAGAGGCTTCAGAAGAACCCAAGGCTGCTGATACATTGACTTCAGACTTCCAGCCTCCTGAACTGTGAGAGAATACATTTCTGTTACATAAGGCATCCAGTCTGTGGTACTTTGTTATGGCAGCCAACAACACACCAAACTTGATTTATAAGCAAGAAAAGGCTGAAGAGTTTATGTGATTTGTACAGAAGTCAATATAGTTTTTCCACACACAGAAATTTAATAGGCATTTTGGTTTTATTACTGAAAAGCTTATCATAATGCCAAACACAACTTCTGCAAGTCATAAGAAAGTCTCCCCTGGCCCCCCAGACACTCTCTTTCCATTGTACCTATAGAGCACTATGGCAAGTCCACCCAGAGTCATAAGAAAGCCCCCCTGGCCCCCCAGACACTCTCTTTCCACTGTACATATAAAGCACCGTGGCAAGTCCACCCAGAGGAACCCACGGGCCAGACTTCCTTCAACCCAAGGGCGCTGGTTTCCCATGATATGTACTTAAAGTTTTGGGCACCTCAGGCCTTGTGTTCAACCTTTTGTAGGTTGTATCTCATTTAATTGTCCAAAAACCCCAAAAAAGGTAATTACTATCTCTGCTGGACAGAGGAAGAAACTGAGGCTTTCAGAGTTTAGAAACATGCCTCAGGTCATAACCAGAAGATTCAAATCTAAGTTTATCTGATGAAAAAACTACTTTCCTGTAGCTACCATGTACTTCATATACATACTCAAACTATGTGTAGCTGATGTTCTGGCCCCACACACTAGACACCACCCTGTGTCCTCCTAAGTATTTCTACATCTCTTCGCAGCATCACAATACTCCTGTAAACAGGAGTTGTTTAGCCAAGGAAACAGAGGTTCCAAGAGACAAGAAATGGCCATGCTCCAGTCATGCAGCAGGCCCCAGCTGTACACTGGCAGTCCCCAGCTGTCATCAAACTGACAAATCCTGCAGAGATGCACCCTCGAAGAGATGAGAGGGCACCACCTCAGTGACACCCACCTACAGAAGCGTTAGCTCTGAGAGGCTCTAGAACCATGAAGAGGACAAACATCCTGATGAGGTTCTCATTTAATTGCTCTAGGAAGGGACTCAGACCCTGACAACAGCTCACAGCACCTCGGGGACACGAGAACACTGCTGATGTAAAAGCCATCAGCTTAACAAAAACCACACCCAGTGCACAGTATGGGGTGTGCACTTCCCCAGATCACCCCTGCTACACTCCCCTGGGCTGCATACCTGGGTCCCCGCTGAGCTGGCTTGGTGGTCTGCTTGGGAGCCCCAGGCACTGTGCCAGGGTTATGGGCTGGGCATCCTGGTTCTTTGCAAGGTCGCTGTGGGGCTCTACCGGCAGCTGCTCCTGCTCCTGGTCCAGAGGGCTGTCCCCATCATCAATCACCACAGGGTCTTCACAGTGCTTGAGCTGCAATCCCAGAGACAGCTTTTCAGGGCTAGGGGAAGAGGTCCCATCTCTCCCTGGGCCTGGTGACCATCCACTCCACAGCTGACCATCAAAGGCTCAACTTAGGCCTTGGACTGGGCTGTAAAGGGGCACGACACTATCATGCCCAAATTAGAGCCTTCAGGGAGTAAAACTGGCTTTCTTAGGAAACTCTAGTCTGGACCTAACCAAAGTAAATGGCTCTCGATGGAACTCCTCATTCCCCAGCCAGCACATGCATGGCCCAGCCAAAGTGTCTAAGTACCAGATCTCTACCCGTCCCAGCCCCACCTCTTCTACTCACCCACTGCCAGGGTCTCCCGGGCTCCCGTTCCAGTGCCTCCACCGCGGCCACAGCCTGCTCTCCGCTCTCAGGCTCCTGCGCCCGCACCCAGCTCTGGATCTCCCGGGGCAGGATGGCCAGGAACTGCTCCAGCACCAGCAGCTCCAGAATCTGCTCCTTGGTGTGCCTCTCAGGCCGCAGCCAGCCCCCGCACAGGTCCCAGAGGCGCTGCAGGGCCTCCCGGGGGCCCGCCGCCTCCTGGTAGCGGAAACGGCGGAAGAGACGCCGAGAGGACTCGGGGCTGGGAAGCTCCCCCTGGGGGCTAGGGTTCTCTCCAGGTGGGCTCCTCATTTTCCTGGGCTCCTCACTTTCCTTCGGAGCCAAGACTCGGGGGCACAGGGCTGTGGGCATGATGGGATTTGATGGGGGTCAGCAGCAGAAGACGACCCTATTTCCAAACAGAAATCACTGGCTTCAGTGTTCTGGTCTCCTGTGGTCATTTCTGGGGGACAGTGACAAGGAAACTGTCAATGCCCTCAGAGACCAGCCCTTTGGAGAAGCCCTGGGAAAGGTAGGGAGTGTTGGTGTGGCTGGTCTTTACACACAGGATGAAACAGACAGAAAGATGCCCTCCCCCCATCAGTACCATTACGTGTGGATTCCCGTTAAGTGGGTGACTGGATGAACAAGACAGGAAATCTGGGAGAAAGTGGTGGCATTTCAACGTGACACTGCTGTTTTGAGCATCCCAGGAAACCAACAGCGCCACATGCAGATGTAATCAAGACGCTCTGGTACCTTGGGTGGCTGGGTCCTCCTGGAGAGATCCGAGATGGGCAGGCCAAGCAGGCCACTATCTTGAAGCTCCGGAGCCGAAGTCACTGTTCTTGTTATTAAGACCTTTACAAATGGAGCTGGAATGACAAAGACATGCATCGGATGAGCCTTCAAGCACATCCAGGAATGGAAAATCCACCCTTCTGGTGGCAGAGGGCTGATGGTGCTGCGTGCTGGATGGACAACCCAGCCAGAATCAGCTTTGCCCAGCAGAGTCTGCAATGGGAGGCAAGGGAAAACATCACATGAGACAGCTACATGCAGTCTACCAGGGACAAATAACACTGCATCTAGAAGTATCAGTGGTTTCCTATGAGCCTTCTGCCAATTCTGCCCTGACCTTCAACCTCGCCTCCACCCTATTCTCTATCCTTGCCCTCTTCAAACCACATTGAAGGCAACTGCACACTCGCCAAAGCCCTTCCTCGGCCAGGACAGAAAAGTGGGTCCGTCACTGCACAGCTCAGCCCTCAAAGAACCCCTGGACACTGCAGCTGCCACACCCCCAAGGTGGGACTCAGGGGTCCCTACACCTCCCCGCTGGTGTGCAGACAACTAGCCGACACTTTTGCCACAACTAGGGTGGCAAGAGACCAGCAACCAGTATACCTGGTGTTTATGATTCCCACTTTAGAACGCTGGGCCCGTGAAAGGGCACATGGGGACACTCACAGTCCCCTTCTCTGCCATCAGGCCTCTGTGATCCTTAGGACCGGCAGTGCCTGCCACTCCCCCATCTGCACGAGGTTGTCCAGCGTGGCCGCGTCTTAACCTCCAACAGCTCACAAGGTGGGAAGGGGGACTCGGGCCTCACTCCCATTTCACAGAAAGACAAGTGATGCCAGAAAAGCTACGGAACAACTGAGTGGTTCCAGAAACACCCACTGCTCTGAATCTCTTTGCTTTCCAAAGTAACAACATACACAGAAACCCATATGGGGGCCGTGGCGGCGTCGGGCTGGACGCATTACAGCGCTCCCCACCACCGGATCGCTTCCAGGGCGGCTCCGGCATCTGGAGCCCGGGGTGGGCCCCGCCCGCCCTGCTCGGCGGCCCCCTGCGGCGCCCATCACACACCTGCAGCGCCCAGGACTACTCAGGCCCGCCCCCCCGAGCACCGGCGCCCACCCGGGCTGCCACTCGGATCGTCTCCAACCAGACGGCCGCGTCCGTCTTTGTCACGGCGGCACCTGGCGCGTCGGAGGCTCGGAGGAGATGCCTGATGAATGAACTAACGTGAGTGAGGCGGAGGAGGGCCCCGCAGGGGCGGAGCGAGCTCCCAGCCTTTCGCGGAGGAGGGACCGAGCTGGATCGGCAGAAAGGGAAGGAGAAGGTCGCTGTGGGCCAGGGAAGGGGGAGCCCGCCCTCCGCGCCCTCGGTCTCCCTCACACGCGCGTCTCCCGTCTCGCCGGCTCCGGGCTCCTCACCTCACAGCCTGGAGCTCCCTCCCGGCGTCCGGCCGAAAACCCTCCTGTGGCGGCGGAAGTCCAGGGCAGCCGTCCTCATCCTCCCAGCCCGCCCGGCCGGGCGTACTCGCTGAGGCGGGGTCTCCGCAGGCGCCCGGCTCCTTTCCCGGCCCGTCCAGACCGCGTCTCCCGATCATCCGGAAAGCCACGGCTCGGCTCGGGGGCAAATGGAGGCGCCTGAAAAACAATGGTGTTGCTTTCTCCCCCGCCCGCACCTTCCTGAGCGCTGGGCTCTGGGCTGGGAGGCGGCGCCGCGGAGGCCGGGCGCGGGCCGAGGAGGGCGGGGCGGGGCCGGCCGCGGGAGCCGGGGTGCACTCACCGCCGCGGCGCGTCCCTGTTGGCGGGCGGCGCAGGCCTGGCCGCCGCGGGAGCCCGCCGGACGCCGAGGAAAGGAAAGGCCGGAGCCCTCCGGCTCCCTCCCCTGGGACACTTCCTGCTCCGCTCTAGGACTGGGGAGGTCTCCGCATCTCAGTGGTTCGCTCCCCCGCCCCCCGGCCGAGGTGTGCGCTGGGGGTGACATCCGACACCCCCGGCCCGCCCCGCTCCGCGCGCGCCTGGGCCTGGCCGCCGGGCCGGGGGCTTTGTGGGTCAGCCACGTCGCCGCGCCCGGGCTTCCCCGCGGGCCCGCCGGTCCGGAAGGTCGGCCCGGGGCTCTTTTCTCCGCTGTTCTCCTTCTCTGGCGCCCCCAGGACACGCGGCCAGTGGACGCCCGGAACGGCCGACCGGGAGTCGCGGCTGGGGATGGAAGCTGGAATTGGGGGTGCGGGATGGAGCGGAGAGAGGAGGCCCCGCGCGCCGTCGGCCGCCTCATTTCAGACTCCCCTGCGACCCCCCCCCCGCCGCCAGCCGAAGCCCGGGCCGCCCAGCCCCTCCTGCCGCTGCGGGACGCCGAAGGTAGCGCTCACATCCGCGCCTTCCGGGCCTGGCGCCCACGTGCGGAGTCCCCGGGTTAGGAAAGGCCGCGCATCCGGAGGCCACGCAGAGCCTCGGGGCTTGCGCAGAGGGGCTGCGGTGAGTCCTGACCCTGAGTGGGGGTCACGGGGCTCGTTGCTCGCTGAAGTGAACACGGTTGCAGCTGTGCACAGTGGCGGAGGGAGAGGATGAGGGACTCTGACCCAAGGTTATGTGGCAGTGAGGGGCAAGCAGAAATGGGGGCCTCCGGACCCCACCCCGAGACAGGGCTGCTGGCCGCTGCACTATGCTGAATATAGCCCAAATTCTTACATGGGTCGTCCCCGGGGAATGCTCATTTTTCAGGCTCCAGAGCTTGAGAGAAAGTGCGAACCCGGTCCCTGAGCAGGTCTGATTCCCATGGCCCCTTCGCCATCTGCTCTGCACCGAAATTGGATTCTCCTACGCAGAGGAGAAGGTGGAGAAGATTCTCCGTCTTCCGGAGGGTAGCTACTGCCGGTAGCTCCGATTTCCTTCGGATCCCCTTTCAAGGGCAAGCAGAAGGAAATCAGTTTCTCCAAAGAAAGTGGCCCGGCTGAGTAAGTGGGAACAAGGTGGTTGGACTGAGGCACGGGATCCTTTAGCTCCGTTGCTCTTCTAATCCCGTGGCCCTGGGCACCGCCACTTCCTCCTCTGAACTGCTGGAATAATCACTTCTGACTAGCAGAGTTACTGGGAGCCGCTGTTTGTCAGTGTTCACATTCTGACTTTAGCAGGAGATGGAGCGAGCGAAGGAGTGAAGCCCTTGTTTGTGAACAGTGATTGTTTCCCGGATGACAGCCAGATGCCGGGCAGGGCCACGCAGATCTTAGCTGGAGCCTACAGGTACAAGTGAGAGCCACCCCCTTTGACGTAACTGGACTGGCATTTACAGAACTCATGTACAGCCCACTCTCAGGAACACCAGCCAGGAACCGTGACATGGAGGAGAGGAATTGGGAGGAACCGAGGGGTCATCAAAGGCTGGTAGGGCTTAGGTGCTCTAGCAAACATCCTAGTCTGTGGGGTTCCAGAGCTCTGGTGCTACAGCTCCCAACCCTTTGATTGGCCCAGGAACTGGCTGTTGAGTGGGCATCCGTGTTCATAGCTCTGCCCCTTGCAACCCTAAAGCAGATAAAATGCAGGAGGCAGAAATTGCTGGCAGACAGCATCCAATTAATCCCCACTACCCAATTCAGTTTCTTCCCCTGACCTGACACGTCCCTGCCCAGCTGTGCCTCCCACTGTTCACCTTTTGAGGCACAAAACGGGCTGTTTATGCTGCTGCTGCATTTAGCTCAAAACAGGGCTTCAGAGTCAAGGTTCTGGACTCAGGCACCCGGATTAAATCCTGCCCTATGAATTCCTAGCCAGGTGACCTCAGGCCTACATAACCTTTCTGTACCTCAACTTCCTCATCCAGAAAACAGGGATGATGCTGTCTACCTCATTGGATGGTTGTGCAGGATCAAAGATTCAGTCATTCAGCAAACCTATACCGAGTACCTACTGTACACTCATGAGTGCTAGGCAGCCAGCCTTCCAGGTGCTCAGGTACATCTGTGAACACAACTGGCTATTGGAGGAAGCAAAATCAGTAACATGACCTGCTCTCTTTGATCTGTGCTACAGAAAAAAAGGAAAGTGGAGAGGCATCAGGAAGTCAGGAGTGCTGGGGAGGGGCTGGTAACAGTCATGGTATTAAAGAGGAGGGCAGGCAGGCCTTACTGTGAAGGTGGTATTTGAGATGAAGTAGTTGGTCAGAGTCCCTGTTTGACACATGGAGACCACCTTGACAGCAAAGGCCCTAAGGGGGAGCGGTGCGAAGCAAGGTGGGCTGGTGAGTGAGAGGAGAGGGATGGCATAGAGCTGGGTGGGGGCACAGGAGCCCGTGGGGAAGGTGTTCGCCTCTGAATGAAGTGGGGTTGTATCAGATACCACGGGTGAAGCATCGGGAAGAGGATCCTGCCTGTAAACCCTGCTCAAGGACTGCACCATCATCATGCCCAGTGTGTGCGTGTATTAGGTTTGTATGAATATAATGTTGCCAATTGTATCTGTTTTTATGAAATGTTTGCTATGTGCCAATGATTATTCGATCCATGGGGAGACCATAGAAGAATGATCCAAGGAGTTGGGAGGGGAATCAAATAATAAATCAGCGATTCTGCAATATAACGCCATTGGTGATCGGTGTCATGAAAGAAATACAACATGGTGGGGAAGAGTGTGCTGGGGATGTTCAGGTAGGGCCTCTGTCAGGAGGTGACATTTGAGTGGAGAGCAGGTGGGGGGCTCCTGAGCAGAGGTGTGTGGGAAGAGTATTCCAGCAGAGGAAACAGCGTGTGCTTGCTCAGCTGGGCAGAGGAATAGTGAGAGAATGGTGAGGCTGGAACCAGGTCACCAGATGTTATAGTCATTAGAGGGTTTCAAGTAGGAGTGTGGCCTAACGGAATCTTGATTTTATCAAGATCACTGTGCAGAACAGATGAAGCAGAGTCTCTGTTAGGAATCGTTGTAGAGATCCCGGCAGGAGATGCTCGGTTCCTGGAGTTGACTGGTGGAGGCACAGCTGGTGAACAGTAGGCCCAATCCAGGCTCTGTGTTGAAGGCATGCTGCCTGTGTTAGAGGAGTGAGGAACGGCTGTGACTGGGGCTGAAACTGGGTGACTGAACAGGCCTTCTAGAGATGGCAGATGCAAGGAAGCAGGTTTCCAGGAAGGGGTTGGGTTTGGGGTTGAATTGGTGGATTTGGGACTTGCTGGTTTTCAGATGCCCAGGAGACAAGTGGGGATGACCCTCTGGGATAGAAAGCTGTGGCTGGAGGTGGAAATCTGGAGTCACCGTATGTAGCAGGAGCTGGGGCTTGAGAGGGTTGAGTGTGTTTTGAGAAGCAGCCCCAGGGAGGGCAGACCCTGCGAAATGCCAGCCCTGGACCGTGGGAGCCCAAGGGGTTAGTGGAGGAGAAGGGAGAGAAGGGGAAGTAGGAGGAGGAAAGTGAGGGAGGACGAGGGCAAGAGAAGGGGGTAGGGAGAGCTGCTGCCGCCTTGAGATAAAAGGAAAATTGCAGGTGTGGAGCCCTGGAATCCAAGTGAGCACCTGTGTTTCAAGGAGAGAAAGAGGTCAGGGGGATAAATCCTGCGCCAAGATCAAATCCGATGAGGAAAGAACACTGCCCATTGAATCTGGTAGAGAGGCCCCTGAGCAAAGCAGACAGTGGAGCTCCTGGGCTAGGGCACTTTCTGGAAGAGAAGGGAGATGAGAGTGGACACAGCCCTGTGGAGAAAAACGGTCTCATCTTAAAGATGGGAGAAATTGCAGTGCATCGCCTGGAGGAGGGAGGGCTGGCACCCAGGGCCCACGGGGAGCCGGAGGGCAGGGAAGGCTGCCTCTGGACCTGAGGCATGTCCACAGCATCTGGGCAGGGAGAGCCTGGGGCAGGCTTCTTCCAACTTTGCCAACACTCCAGTAAAATAAGGAGCAAGTGTGACGTTTTATTTTATGAGGCAACTTGGCTAGCTGTGGTACTCAGTTTTTGTTCAAACACCAGTCTGGTGTTTCTGTGAGGCTGTTTTTTAGATATGATTAATAGTTAAATCTGTAGACTTTGAATGCAGCGGGTTACCCTCCATAGCGTGGGCGGGCTTCATCCAATCTGTCGAAGGCCGTAAGAGCAAAGACTGCAGTCTCCTGAGGAAGGAACTCCCCCTGCGGCGCGCCTTCCGACTTGCTGCAGCTTCGGCTTTCTGGATCTGCAGCCTGCCCTGCAGATTTTAGACTTGCAAGCCAATCAGTTCCTTAAAAGAAAACAGTCTCCCTCATCTCTCTCTATTGATCTCTAGCTCTCTATCCCCACCCCCTTCCCTCCCCCCACTCCACATGCTATTTGTTCCGTTTCTCTGGAGAACCCTGACTGCTACACAGGGCCCTTAAGTGACAGGGAGAAAGAGAGGGTGAAATGTGAGAGCAGGAGGAAGAGGGCGTGAGACGGCCATCTTGCAGAGTGGAAAGGTGAATGGACGATAACAAAGGAAAGGGTGAATTATATATAACCTGGAAAGTGAAGTGTGCACAAGGAAATGTGATGTGTAACCTAAAGCCCCAGTGCTTTGCAGGTGGGCAGCCGTTCCACTGTGACATCGCCCCCCAGGTGGGCAGCCGTTCCACTGTGACATCACCCCCTGCAGAGGAGGTCATCATTCCGCATAATATGCTTGTAGACTGATGACAAATACAGGTGTGCAAATATGTGAAGCCCCATCACTGGACCAACCACACCTGCCTTCTCTGGGAGCTGTCAGTACCCACAGGCCCCAACCACAGCTTGCGCGGCTAACCAGGCACCAGGGACTTGCATGCTTTTTGCAATGTGAGAAGCTCTGTTGTAAGCTGGGCATAGTAGATACTCAATAAACTGTGGCTTTAGGAACAGTCCTAGGAATAGTAGTGCTAGTTCTTACTGTGTTAGTCACAGACATCTAGGGGGCATGGACAGCAAGGCATTAATCTGGTCCCTTATTGTGGCCTGTGGAAAGGGGTCAGTGAGAAGCTGCTCAGTGAAACAGCTTTGCATGATGACATTTTCTCACTATAGAGGCCTCCCAGCTGTCACAGAGGCCTGTTCATCTATTTTATTTTTTCTTTTTTTGAAAGCAAAAACACTTTGAGATTTGCAGGTAGGCTGACATAACCCACTCTCAGGGGCTCCAGTGAAAGTACCTCTTTTAAGTGGCCAAGTTGTCACTAAAGAGATGACATCTTTTTCCTGGAAATCAGCGTTGGATGCTACAGTCAAGAAAATAAAGACCCCAAACATTGGTATTTGGAGCTATTCTTGAGCATTGGGTTGTTCATGTTTATTCAGCTGGACCATCAGGGACAAGCTTGTGCCTTGACAAATTCAGATTTGCAGAAATGACCAGATTTATCGTCTTGATTCAGTGAGCGGGGGAGGGCACCCAGAGGAGGCTGGAATATGGCTTGATAATGGGAGAAGTATTTTTGCGAGGTTTGCTCCGGATGGAGGAGGAGAAGGAGGAAGAGGGGGAGGGGAGGAGGAGGATGATGTCAGGTGTGATGTAAGTGTGGGAGTAAGTCTCCCTTGTGGGATCTTTAAGAATCACTCCCAAGTGGCTGCAGCAATTACAGTCCAAGAATGATATGAAAGTACAGGATTTATGCTGCTCCAAGGTCCTGGAGAGGGAGGCACCGCATGCGTGCAGGGCCGTGTTGGATGAGAGCCAAGGGCCCAGGCTCTGCAGTGCAGGTGGGGGGTCGAGAAAGAGAGAGAACCCGTGGGCAAGTACCTGTGTCGGGGGGTCAGGGTGGGGCACACAAGCAGAAGGTATGAGGGGATTTTACTGGTGCATTGGAATGTCGCTGGGTCACAGTCGGGGGAAGGCAAGAAGGGGACCTGGAGGCAGAGACCAGGCTTATCACACCAGTGTGCCTAGTTGCTTGGGGGACTCACAGCCTGTGTGTGATACTGAGGCCTCATGGAAGTATGAAGTTTTAATAATTGATAATGTATCAGGGAAGTGGGAGTCGCATCTGCACTGGTTGTTGTTTAGAGGGGGGCTCAGAAGAAGTAGGGGTTCACTGAGGGTGATGGGCCGTCAGGAGGCAAGGATGCCTTGGTTGTTGCGTTCCCCCAGTCATAAATGAGTGCAGCAAGTGGGTCTAGGGCGTTCTTGGTTAGAAAGCAGGAGTCCATCTGTCAAGCGGGCGTTGTGGCGTTTCGAAGCTTTGGCAAGACCTTGGGGAAAACCACGTGTCCTGTGAATGCACAGTGGGTTACTCGTCTGTCTTCTTAGCCTGATGAAAGGCAGGGCTGCCTGTTCTCTTTTCTCAGTCCTTACAGATCTTGTAGATTTTCTCACATTCGCTCCTGGAGAGGTTTTTTTTTGTTTTTGTTGCTGTTGTTGTTGTTGTTTTGAGAGAGTCTCGCTCTGTCCCCAGGCTGGAGTGCGGTGGCGCCATCTCGGCTCACTGCAACCTCTGCCTCCTGGGTTCAAGCGATTCTTCTGCCTCAGCCTCCTGAGTAGCTGGGATTACAGGTGCCCACCACAACGCCTGATTAATTTTTGTATTTTTAGTAGAGACGAGGTATCACCATGTTGGTCAGGCTGGTCTTGAACTCCTGACCTCGTGATCCACCTGCCTTGGCCTCCCAAAGTGCTGGGATTACAGGCGTGAGCCACCGCGCCCAGCCTGGAGAGGTTTTGATGCTCTTAGGAGGGAAACGCCTTGATGTTACAGTTCCGCAGATGTTTCCATGAATGTGAGTTTGATCCTTTGTGATCGTCTTTGTTGTCTGCTCCTTAAATGCATTGAATCCTAGCATCCTTGGAATTTCAGGAGGGAAACTGATGTTCAGAGAAAGAGGATAGTGGTCAGGGACCCAGTGTTACAGGGGTATGTGTGTGTGTCTGAATGAGGGAGGGATGGGGAAGTAGACTTTGTACGGAATATGTTCAGCATTTGCTAGGTATATTATCTGCATTGTATTGCCTAATTCTCACCACCATCCCGGGAAGTTGGAGCCCTGAGTAGTGTTTGGACTCTGCCTTCCAGAAAAGAAGGGTTTGCTGCAGGCCTCAAATGGGGTGATTGGTTCTTGGGTGAGTAAATACCAGAGTAAACTCCTCTGGTATTGTAGGACAGTGTTTTGGTCGATCTAGTAAAGGGGGAAAACATCCTTACTCACAGTTCTGGAATTTTATGTCCAGCTATTCCTTGTATGCCATGTCACTTAGGAAAATTTAAAAAGTATCTGGCTGGGTGTGGTGGCTCACACATGCCTATAATCCCAGCACTTTGAGAGACCAAGGCAGGAGGATCACTTGAGTCCAGAAGTTTGAGACCAGCCTAGGCAACATAGCAAGAACCCATCTCCACAAAAAATTTAAAAATTAGCTGGGCAAGGTGGCACATACTTGTAGTTCCAGCTACCTGGGAGGCTGAAGCAGGAAGATCACTTGAGCCGAGGAGGTGAGCTATGATTGTGCCACTGCACTCCAGCCTGGGCAACAGAGTGAAACCCTGTCTCAAACAAAACAAGTAAATATCAATTCTGTTCAGCTTCCTGCCACCTTACTCTTTCCATAGCATTTTCTGAAATTCAAGTCACCTCTGACAACTCCACATTTTTCTCCTCACATCTAGTATTTGCCAATTGATAAAAAGTCTGGGAGCCTCAATGTGTCTTAGATTTATTTTTTTCTGTGCAATCCCACTTAGAAACCCTAACCTATATCTTGATTTCACCTCATAGCATAGCACAGACCTCATCCTGGATCCCACACCCTGATGTGTGTCCTGATTCCAGCTCAGAGCACAGACCTTATCCTGGATCCCAGACCCTGTTATGTGTCCTGATTCCAGCTCAGCACATACCTCACCCCGGATCCCACACCCTGATGTGTGTCCTGATTCCATCTCATAGCAGAGACCTCATCCTGGATCCCAGACTCTGTTGTGTGTCCTGATTTCACCTTATAGCACAGGCCTCATCCTGGATCCCACACCCTGATGTGTGTCCTGATTCTAGCTCAGAGCATAGACCTCATCCTGGATCCCACACCCTGTTATGTGTCCTGATTCCAGCTCAGAGCACAGGCCTCATCCTGGATCCCAGACCCTGTTGTGTGTCCTGATTTTACCTTATAGCACAGACCTCATCCTGGATCCCACACCCTGATATGTGTCCTGATTCCAGCCCAGAGTACAGACCTCATCCTGGATCTCACACCCTGATATGTGTCCTGATTCCAGCTCAGAGCACAGACTTCTTCCTGACCTCAGCATCTCTCTCCAGCCTGCTCACTAAGGTGCAGTTTAAGCCATGCTGTCCCTACCCTGGGTATTTTCCCTCTGTCAGACCCACATACAGGGCAATTCTATTTCTGCCCCCTTGCTATCTGTGTTGCTTAAGTGGTGGGAGATGATGGGTTAATTTTTCCATTCATAAACTGTTGATACACCTGGCCCAAATGGATAGAACAAAATCTGGCACTTAAATACCCAGCGCAGAGTTAGAGATACTTAGCAGGTGCTTGCTCATCACAATCCTTCTTCCTCCTCTATTAGCTGCATATAAACTTTTAAACTTTATAGTGTATGACATTTCTCATTTTAGTGTATCTTAATCTGCCCTTCTGCCATTGAACACTGTAATAATTAATTTTCGGTGTCAACTTGACTGGGCTAAGGGATGACCAGATAGCTGGTAAAAGAGTAACTCCAGGTGTGTCTGTGAGGGTGTTTCCCAAAGAGACTGGCATTTGAATCAGACTGAGTAATGAAGATTTGCCCTCACTGATGTGGGCTGGCATTATCCAATCTGTTGAATGCCCAGAGAGAGTGAAAAGGCAGATGAAGGAGGAATTCTTTTTTCTTCTTGAGCTAGAGCACCCACCTTCTCCTGGTCTTAGACACTGGGGCTCCAGGTTCTTGCAGCTTCATACTCTGACAGTGGCCCCCCAGTTTCTTAGGCCTTCAGCCTCGGACCGAGAGTTACACCAATAGCTTCCCTGCTTCTCCAGCCTGCAGATTGCATATATGAGGCTTCTCAGTCTCTACAGTCATCCAAGCCAGTTTCCATAATGAATACCGTCTTCATTTATGTGTTTCAATCTGCATCCTGCTGGTTCTGTTTCTCTGAAGAACCCTAATACAGACGCCACCTGCCAGTTATTTGTGCTCCCACATGAAGTATTCTGAATTCCTCTCTATCTCCAAACATTCCAAGTACTTTCTCTAAGTCTTTTATTTTATTTATTTATTTCTCTGAGACAGGATCTCTGTTGCCTAGGCTGGAGTACAGCGGCACAGTCACCGCTCATTGTAGCCTCTACATCCTGGACTCAAGCAATCCTCCCACCTCAGCCTCTCAAGTAGCTGGGACTACAGGCATGTGCCACCATGCCCTGCTAAGTTTTTAAATTTTTTGTAGAGGTGAGGTCTCACTATGTTGCTCAGGTTGGTCTCGAACTCTTGGGCTCAAGGCATCCTCTCACCTCGGCCTCTCAAAGTCTTGGAATTACAGGTGTGAGCCACCATGCCAGGCCACTAAATCTTATAAGCATAGCATGATCTGTAGCAGGAATTCCTTAGCACTCTGTAGCTACCGTTTTTTTTAATTTTGCCAGTCTTCTTCCATCCCCGTTCCTTCAGGCCCAGTTCACTGCATGTGCAAATGGGGGTGGCAGGGAGGGTCTTGTAATGGGTAAAATTGTGTCCCCTAACATGGTTTATGTCCTAACTTTTGGTTCCTGAAAATGTGAACTTAATTTGGAAATAGAATATTTGCAGATGTAATCAAGTTAAGATGATACTGGATAAAGGTCATCATGAGTTAGAGTAGGCCCAACATCCAATGACAGGTGTCCCTATAAGGCCATGTGAGATGATAGAGACGGAGACTGGAGGGATGTGTACCAGGTCAGGAACACCACGGATTGGCTGTCACTCACCAGAGTCTAGGAGGAGGCAAGGAGGGGTCCATATTCCGAGCCTTCGGAGACAGCATGGCCCTGCAGATGCCTTGATTTCTGACTCTGTTGTTTCAGGCCACTCAGTTTATGGCAATCATGACAGCAGCCCTGGGAAACACAACAGAGGCTTGTTTCCTCTGACACCCACTGACTTGACTGACAGTCTTAGGAAACTTGCTGCCATCCTACTTTTCTGCTTGTTTTATAATGATTGTTACCAGACTGTTCACATTAAATGTCTTGTAAAGCTGAAACCCTGCACTGAGACTTGAAGCTTGTCACCTTCAGCTTTACCCACCAACACTTTTTTTTTTTTGAGATGGAGTCTAGCTCTGTCGCCCAGGTTGGAATGCAGTGGTGCGATCTAGGCTCACTGCAACCTCCACCTCCCGGGTTCACACCATTCTCCTGCCTCAGCCTCCCAAGTAGCTGGGACTACAGGTGCCTGCCACCACGCCCGGCTAATTTTTTGTATTTTTAGTAGAGACGGGGTTTCACCATGCTGGCCAGGCTGGTCTCAAACTCCTGACCTTGTGATCCGTCCACCTCAGCCTCCCAAAGTGCTGGGATTACAGGCGTGAGCCACCGTGCCTGGCCCACTTTTTCCTTTTTTTGAAACGAGGTCTTGCCACATTGCCCAGGCAATCTTGAACTCCTAGGCCCACGTGATTTTCCCA
This sequence comes from Homo sapiens, assembly GCF_000001405.40. Taxonomy (NCBI): domain Eukaryota; kingdom Metazoa; phylum Chordata; class Mammalia; order Primates; family Hominidae; genus Homo; species Homo sapiens. The sequence goes on from NC_000001.11 coordinate 247,342,572, forward strand.
AGTAGCTGGGATTACAGGCACACACCCCATGACCTGCTTTTCCCCTGCCTTTTAGTTCCCACACCTCACTGGTTAAAATTGACAATGTCCTCCAACTCCGATCCATCAGCTCTTTTGAATTCTGGTTGCCTTTTGTTGAGTTGTCTCATGGAATATCGAGATAATTGCCAACAGATCTCAGTGCCTTTCTTTCTTTCCCTCTGAGTTAATTCAACTTGGCATTTACTGGGTATCAAATCAGACAGCAGCCTCACTCAAGCGTGAGCAAGTGGGGCTTATTCTGGATGACCTGGAAACCCCACGGGTGCAATCGGAAGATGAAATAAGTGAGACTGACAGTAATGCAACGAGGCGGGCGGCACCTCCCGGGGAGAGGAGCAAAATGCCTCCCTGGTGAGTCCCCCCTCCCACCAACAAGACAGCGTAGCAGCCGAGGGAATTGCCCTCTGAAGATCTGCTGAAAAATCAACTGACAAAATTCAGATGAATAGGAGAAAAGGCATACAGATTTGTTCGATCGTAGTTCTAATGACTCATAGTTCTAAATGACTCAGAGGCCTTCAGAATGAAGGCCCAGAGACACAGGGAAAACTGTCTATTTTTTTTTTTTTTTTTTTGAGATGGAGTCTCGCTCTGTCACCCAGGCTGGATTGCAATGGCACAATCTCAGCTCACTGCAACCTCTACCTCCTGGGTTCAAGCGATTCTCCTGCCTCAGCCTCCTGAGTAGCTGGGACTACAGGCACATGCCACCACACCCAGCTAATTTTTGTATTTTTAGTAGAGATGGGGGTCTCACCATGTTGGTCAGACTGGTCTTGAACTCCTGACCTGGTGATCGGCCCACCTCAGCCTCCCAAAGTGCTGGGATTACAGGCGAGAGCCACCGCACCCAGCGGAAAACTGTCTATTTTTATGCTGAGGTTCAACAAAGTGTAGATAGCAACGCAGAGAAATGATTGGGGAAAAGGGCATGATCTAAGGCTAACAGGCTGAGTGGGGAAAGCCAGCAGGGCATCTGCTTAGATTCTTCCTGGCTTTCCTGTGCAGCATGTCTTCTGGCTATGGGGCAGCCCCTCTACGGAATGGTGGGGGGGGTTCTTATGACCTACCATCAAAAAAGGTAGGTCAGATTATTTATTTATGGTCAGTTTTTATACAGAAGGTTGGGGGAAGTTAGATTAATATTTTTAGGTATAATGGCTGGCTTTAGGGAAAAGGGGGTTCTGGTTTCACTTTGGAGAAGAATTCTAGTTTCTATTGTTGGCCTCGGGAAAATGAGAGGCCAGAGACAGGAAGGCAGGAGAAGGTCAGAAAATTTGCTTCTGAGGCTGCTACTGAGGTTTTCATTTTGGGGTATCATCTTAACCCCAAGAACAAGAAGCTTCATTCCCTACAGAGGTGTTCACAGCCAGGAGGGGCAGCCTACAGGTGACTAGGGCACAGTGCATTTGGAGAAGAACTAGCAGGACAATCAGCAGGTCCACATTAGCTCTGGACTTCCCTGCCCTGTCATCAGCCAGGGGTGGCTCCAAGGGGGCATCTTTTAGGTTTTGTTTCAGGCTTATTGGGGATTCCCCAGCTTAAAAGAAAGAGGGAAGGGCATCCAGGAGACCTACACAAAGGTGGGGCCTGTTTTTTTTTTTTTTTTTTGAGACAGAGCCTCACTCTGTCGCCCAGGCTGGAGTGGAGTGGTGCGATCAGCTCATTGCAACCTCTGCCTCCCGGGTGCAAGCAACTCTCATTCCTCAGCCTCCCAAGTAGCTGGAATTACAGGCATGCACCACCATGCCCGGCTAATTTTTGTAATTTTAGTAGAGATGGGGTTTTGCCGTGTTGGCCAGGCTGGTCTCAGAAACTCCTGGCCTCAAGCAATCTGCCCACCTTGACCTCCCAAAGTGCTGAGATGACAGGCGCCAGCCACCGCGCCTGGCCAAGCCTCCTGAAAACACTATTTGGAGGGAACTGTGTGACAGACTTGGCAATAAGACCTGGAGGCCCCCCGGTACACCATGCTGAAGAATTTGGTTTTTACTCTGCAGGCTGGAGTTTATGATTTTTTGCCTGCATCCCCAAGAAAGGCACATGCTCTGATAATTCCTGCTGTATTCTGTTAGAAGAAGGCAGGACTAGGCCGGGTGTCATGGCTCCCACCTGTAATCCCAGCACTTTGGGAGGCATGTGGATCACCTGAGGTCAGGAGTTGGAAACCAGCCTGGCCAACATGGTGAAGCACCGTCTCTACTAAAAATACAGAAAATTAGTTGGGCGTGGTGTCAGAGGTCTGTAATCCCAGCGACTTGGGAGGCTGAGACAGGAGAATCCTTTGAACCTGGGAGACGGAGGTTGCAGTGAGCCGAGATCGCACCACTGTACTCCAGCCTGGGCAACAAGAGGGAAACTTTGTATCAAAAAAAAAAGAAAAAAAAAAAAGCAGGACTGCTATTGACAAAGATTTTCTCGACCAAACTCTACTCATGCTCCCTGAACTCTTCTCAAGCCCTGATTTTTGGGCTTCTGTGTTTATCTCTGCACATTGTCTAATCCTGCTAAGTCAGTTTAGCCAGAATCCTGCACCGTTGATACTGATCACCCTTGATATCTGATTGAGTTCCTCATCCTCCATCATGCCTCTGGTGATGTGGTATCTGATCACCGTGATATCTGATCAGGTTCCTTGTCCTCCATCATCCCCCGGGTAAAGTCTGATCACCATGGCCTGCCTTCAGCAAGAGTCCTGTTAGGTCCGTTCAGCCAGAATCCCCATGCCCATGGTGTTTCTTCTTAGTAATTTTCTGCTGACCCCCACCCTGCTCCTTGGCTATAAATTTCCACCTTTACTTGTGTTCAGAGTTGAGCCCAATCTCTCTTCCCCACTGTAAAACACTGCTGTGGTGGTCCCTATACTTATCTCCATTGGCCACCTGAATAAAGTCTGCCTAACTGTTCTTTAATCAGTAGTATCATCATTTTTTCATCAACACTGTCACATGTTATAATGGGTCTTTCAAGCAACAAAGTGGGCCAGGCATGGTGGCTCATGCCTGTAATCCCAGCACTTTGGGAGGCTAAGGTGGGCAGATCATTTGAGCCCAGGAGTTAAAGACCAGCAAAGGCACCATCTCTACAAAAAACAAATAATTAAGTAGGCATGGTGGCTCACACCTAGATTCCCAGCTACTTCAGATGATTTTTTTTTTTCTTGAGACAGAGTCTTGCTCCATCACCCAGGCTGGAGTGTAGTGGCACCATCTCGGCTCACTGCAACCTCTGCTTCCCGAGCTCAAGCAATTCTCCTGCCTCAGCCTCCTGAGTAGCTGGGACTACAGGTGTGCTCACCATGCCCGGCTAATTTTTGTATTTTTAGTAGAGATGGGATTTCACCAGGTTGGCCAGGCTAGTTTCGAACTCCTGACCTCAAGTGATTCGCCTGCCTCAGCCTCCCAAAGTACTGGGATTACAGACATGAGCCACTGCGTCTGGCCTTGAAAGGATTGTTTAAACTCAGGAAGTCAAGGCTGCAGTGAGCTATGATTACACCACTGCATCTAGCCTGGGCAATAGTGCAAAATCCTGTCTCTGAAAACAAACAAAAAAGACAACAAAGGTGTTAGTGAAAGGTTCTCATCAGGCTAAGGGCATCTTAACAGGTAGCAGGGTTCAGTTAGCCTATTTGAGAAGGACAAACTGTAGCCCCAAGGCCAGGAGAGAGGTGCAGGTCTGTGGTTCACTGGCCAAGTGACAAGAAAAGATGACGCCGCAGGTGGAAAAGTGCACACTTGACCTTGTGATGGTTATATCCTGTTCTTTAAAATATTGTACAACAGTAGCTTTGGGTTATAACTACAAGATGTATATAAAACATAAATGAGCCAGGTGTGGTGGCTCATGCCTATAATCCCAGCACTTTGGGAGGCTAAGGCAGGAGGATTGCTTGAGGCCAGGAGTTTGAGATCAGTCTGGGAAACATAGGGAGGCTGTATCAATAAACATTTTTAAAAAGGGTGCAATGGCACCTGGCTGAGCCCAAGTTTGAGACTGCGGCGAGCTATGACCCCACCACTGCACTCCAGCTGGGCCACAGAGCAAGACACTGGCTTTTCTTTTTTTAAAGAAAGAAAAATGAATTTTATGTTTAGGCTTGGTTCCCATCTTCAAGATATCTCATTATGTATTTGTAAATATTCCAAAATTTAAAAAAATCCAAAATCCAAAACGCCACTGCTCCCAAGCATTTCGGATAAGGGATACTCAACCTGTACCACAGACTGGGTGACATGAACAAACATTTATTTCTGGAGGCTTAGACGTCTAAAATCAAGGTGCTGGTATAATCAAATGGTGGAGATCCCCTCCCTGGTTCATAGAGGGCTATCTTTCTATGGTGGGGGTGGGTAGAGCTCTCTGGGGTCTCTTTTATAAGGGCACTAATTCCATTTATGGTGTTCCATCTTCATGACCTAATCACCTCCCAAAGCCCCACCTCCTAATGCCATCACAATGGAGGTTAAGATCTCCACATAGGAATCTAGGGGGACATAAACATTCATTCCAGTTATGTCCCCCCAGATTCATATGTTTGGACCGGGCGTGGTGGCTCACACCTGTAATCCCGGCATTTTGGGAGGCCTATGTGGGAGGATCAGTTGAGCTCATGAGTTCCAGACCAGCCTGGACAATATAGGGAGACCCCGTCTCTACAAAACAAAAATAAAAAATTTTATCCTGGCGTGGTGGTGTGGCATATGGTCCCAGCTACTTGGGAGGCTGAGGCATGAGAATCACTTGAACCTGGGAGGCAGAGGTTGCAGTGAGCTGAGACCGCACCACTCTATTCCAGCCTGGACAATAGAGCGAGACCGTGTCTCAAAAGACAAAAACAAAAAGTTACTTTGCATGCTCATTTATTGTGTGTTGAATTAGAATTTACTTCCATCCTTCGTGTCACTTTCAAAAACCTGTGTCTCACCATCATCAGTCTACTTAACATAATTTCTTCTAAAAGTCCCGCCCCCCCCCCCCCCCGCTCCTATGTAACTGCTCCTATCAGCAAATTCTGAGAATTCTGGGGACTCTGATAAGTCCTCAGAAATTATCCAGTATCGTATTATCTAATTGAGTTGAAACCAAGGCCAGGAAAGAGGAAGGACCTAAAGCGCTGGAAGAATTTCTGGGCCCCAACCACTCCCAGTTTCGGTCTCTTTCTACCAGGGACTGGTGCAAGACTGTCTAGAATTCCAGAGCCTTCTCGATGTTCGGGTCAGACCTCCATGCTCTCCAGCACCACTCCTCCCCAACCCTCTCCAGGGGTCCCCTGGCTTCGCACGGTTCCCCTCCCCGGCCCCCACCTCCCCATCCCCAGTAAGTGCAAGCAGCTTTCCGGGGCAGGCAGCTGCCCTACACCTGGTGCTTACAGGGAAGTGGAGAGGAGGGGCAGGCGGCTGGAGCGGGGGTCTCCAAGGTGGGCCTGGAGCCCGGCGGGCTCTGGGGCGCTGAGCTCATCTCGCCACGCCCTGCGCGCATCCGCGCAGAAATTTGGGAGGTGGGGTTGAGTCTCGCAAGCTCCTCTCCGCCAGGCTGGGCCGCAGCGGACGCCGGCTCCCCGATCACCCGCTCAGCAGCTTTGGCCCAGGAAGACCTGCAGCCCTGGCTCCCTTGCAGGGGTGCAGCTGGGGTCTCACCCAATTCCCGGCATAAATGAATGGAAGAGGCCTAGGGGTGAACGTTTATCTCCACATTACTGTGCAGATCATTCAAATCGGGACTAACCAGAACCGCAGTCTTCCCATTTCTAGGGAGGAAAGTTGCTCTTAAAAATTTTTACAGTAAATAATTTTCCTAGTGGACCTCCTTTAAAGGGAAATTGCCGTATTCACCCCTCAGTTGTTCCAGTGCTTTGTTTGTGTCAGAAATTAAATGAATAAGCCAGAGAGAACCTCTTGGACCTGCTGCACCAAATTCACAAATGAAAAGTTCATCACCGCTTGAGGGCGAGTGGCTTCTGGGGCTCAGCTCTCAGTGACCTTTAACCACGGCTCCTCACCAGGTTCCAGTGAATTTGGAAGAGGAATCCCTTTTTCTCTTTTCCAGAAAAGTCGCTGATTCCCAGTGTCTTTCCTACTGAGGGCTTTTTGAAGCATTCGGAGTTCAGTTTCTCTGGATTGTTATGGGCCCAGCTTCTGGGGCCCGTCCAGTAAATACCACTCCATTTGAGAAGAGAATAAATAGGCAGTTACCTCTCTTGGACAAAAACGTTCCGATCCATCCCCTCTGAACTTGGAAAGAAATCCCCCCCTTCTCAACAGGTCTTGCACCGTTGTTTTTCACCCTATGAGTTCTGCATGTTTTATTCAACATGGTGGGTCTCCACAGATATTTTTTAGTGAAAGAGGCTGGTGGAGATTAGATGTGAGAGTGTATTGCTTTTTTTTTTTTTTTTTTTTTTTTGAGATGTAGTCTCACTCTGTCACCCAGGCTGGAGTACAGTGGCATGATCTCGGCTCACTGCAATCTCCGCCTCCCGGGTTCAAGTGATTCTTCTGCCTCAGCCTCCCTAGTAGCTGGGACTACAGGCACCCACCACCGCGCCCAGCTAATTTTTGTATTTTTAGTAGAGATGGGGTTTCACCATATTGGCCAGGTTGGTCTCGAACTCCTGACCTTGTGATCCACCTGCCTCGGCCTCCCAAAGTGCTGGGATTACAGGCATGAGCCACCGCGCTCGGCCGAGTGTATTGCTCTTATCTGGGAAATAACTCATAGACGTATTTCTGAAGGAGGGCTTTTCACATCTGCCAGCAGGAAGCGTGAGGGGAGGCTCCGCCCATCAGAAACCACTGCTTGCTTTAGCACAGCCCTTACCTCCAACAGTTTTATGGGCTCTCTTTTTTGAGGAAAGGAGACATCCTTCTCTAGGAATAGTTCTGGTTTGGGGACCCAGTAGGAGGTAGATCTGTTACAGGAAAGGGGTCCCAATCCAGGCTCCCAGAGACGGTTCTTAGATCTCAGGCAAGAAAGAATTCAGAGCAAGTCCACAATGCAAAGCCTTGTGTGTCCATAAAACCTAAGCCCTGGCTGGTGTTCAACTCCCGGCCTCAAGATCTCATCAGATCTACCCCTGGTGGATCCCCAAACTAAATCCAAGCCTCACCACGGCCACCTGTCTGGACCCCAGAATCTAAAGGCTCAACACCAGAGACATAAGCTCACGGACAAATCAAGCAAGTATTCAAAATGTCACAAAACAACTGTTTTATGACTTTGAAACATCTAGCAGAGGCTGGGTGTGGTGGCTCACACCTGTAATCCCAGCACTTTGAGAGGCCAAAGCTGTAGGATCACTTGAGCCCAGGAGTTCTAGACCAGCTTGGGCCACACAGTGAGACCCTGTCTCTACAAAAAAATTTAAGAATTAGCCAGGCATGGTGGCACCCACCTGTAGTCCCAGCTACTTGGGAGGCTGAGGTGGGAGGATCACTTGAGCCCAGGAGGTTGAGGCTGCAGTGAGCCATGATTACACCACTGCACTCCAGCCTGGGTGACAGAGTGAGACCCTGTCTCAAAAATAAAATAAAATTTTAGCCATGAGACTGAAAAAACTCACTAATTTAAAAGGACATTTGGGGCCAGGAGTAGTGGCTCACACCTGTAATCCAACTGATATGGTTTGGCTGTGTCCCCACCCAAATCTGATGTTGAATTGTAGCTCCCATAATTCCCACGTGTTGTGGGAGGGACCTGGTGGGAGATAACTGAATCATGGGGGCGTTTTCCCCCAGACCATTCTCGTGGTAGTGAATAAGTCTCATGAGATCTGATGGTTTTGTAAAGGGAAACCCCTTTTACTTGGCTCTCTTTCTCTCTGTTGCCTGCTGCCATGTAAGATGTGCCTTTTGCCTTCCACCATGATTGTGAAGCCTCCTCAGACATGTGGAACTGTGAGTCCATTAAGCCTCTTTTTCTTTATAATTTACCCAGTTTTAGGTATGTCTTTATCAGCTATGTGAAAATGACTAATACATCAACTCTTGAAGAGGCCAAGACAGGAGGATTGCTTGTGGCCTGAAGTTTGAGACCAGCCTGGGCAAAGTAGCCAGACCTCATCTCTACCAAAAAATTAAAAAAAAAAAAAAAAATAGCTGGGTGTGATTGTGTGTGCCTGCATTCCCAGTTGCTTGGGAGGCTGAGGTGGGTGGGGTCACTTCAGCCCAGAAGTTGGAGGTTGCAGTGAGGTGTGATTGCACCACTGCACTCCAGTGTGGGCGACAGACTGAGACTCTGTTTCTAAAGAAAAAAATAATAATAAAAATAAATGAAAGGACAGTTGGATTAAAACTGTGGCCCTGTAAATGGAACAAGTTAATCTGTCCCACATAGCTGAGTTGTAGAGAATATAGGGCAGCAAATCTACACCTCAAAGCAGAGAGAGAGAATTTAAGCTTTTTTTTTTTTTTTTTTTTTTTTTGGTGAGACAGACTCTTACTCTGTCACCCAGGCTGAAGTGCACTGGAGTGATCTCAGCTCACTGCAACTTCTACCTCCCAGGTTCAAGCGATTCTCCTGCTTCAACCTCCCAAGTAGCTGGGATTACAGGCGCCTGCAACCACACCTGGCTAATTTTTGTTTTTGTTTTTGTGTTTTTTTTGAGGCAGAATCTCACGCTGTTGCCCAGGTTGGAGTGCAATGGCGCGATCTCGGCTCACTGCAACCTCTGCCTCCTGGGTTCAAGCAATTCTTCTGCCTCAGCCTCCCGAGTAGCTGGGATTACAGGCGTGTGCCACCACAGCCGGCTAATTTTTTTTTTTGTATTTTTAGTAGAGACAGGGTTTCACTGTGTCAGCCAGGATGGTCTCGATCTCCTGACCTTGTGATCTGCCCGCCTCAGCCTCCCAAAGTGCTGGGATTACAGGCATGAGCCACCATGCTTGGCCTAATTTTTGTATTTCTAGTAGAGACGGGGTTTTGCCATGTTGGTCAGACTGGTCTTGAATTCCTGACCTTAAGTGATCCACCTGCCTTGGCCTCTCATAGTGCTGGGATTACAGATATGAGCCACTGCACCTGGCCAAATTTAAACATTTTTAAGAAGAAATTTGTGTGTGTTAGGTAAAGGGAGGTTAAAAATGGATGCCAAGGTTAACACAGAATCATAGGAATTTACAAGAGCATATAAGGAGACCAATTTTAGGTAGTTTTCAATGTAGTACCTATTAGAAATGGGTTCCCTTAATCATTGTATCCCTCCCCCATTTCAGACGGAGCTGAACTCCCATTTCCAAATGGGTGGTTTCCAATTTGGTCTTCATTTTCCAGCTGCACCACTGAGCTCAGTGCAGAGCCCATTAATGAATAGGGCCAACAAAGCATTTGCAGTTTTCAGGGCCTAATACTTATGTATTTGAAAAGCAAGCACAGCTGGAAGGCAGAACACCCAGATCCTCAGAAATCAAAGACCCTGTTTTTACATGGAGTCCTGGGTGTCTCAGAGCTGTGTTAAAAGCCCAAGAGGGAAATGTCATGGGCCAGGCTGAGCAACACTTCCACCATGCACCTTGCTGCAAAGGTATTCCCCCTGGGCTGGTGGATGGCCCAGTGCCAGTCAGCCCACTGTGTGATCAGCCCATCTCTCATGGGTATCTTTTTTTCCAGTATTAAGTGTTCCTACAGTCTCCAAGTTTCCAAACTTCACATTTCTTATCTAAATGTTCAAAGAAATGAGTACTCCCCTATAGTAGTAACCATTTGCCACAACTGTAGTCTGCCACCTCCAAGATTACACTTGCCAGTGACTCACCAGCCGTAACACACCCGAAGGTAATGTGCTCTTACAATACAAAATACTCCTGGTACCCATAAAAGCCAAAAAATATCAGGAAACTCAGACCGGGTGCAGTGACTCATGCCTATAATCCCAGCACTTTGGGAGGCTGAGGCAGGAGGATCACTTGAGCCCAGGAGTTTAAGAACAGCCAGGGCAACATGGTGAAAACCCATGGGTACAAAAAAATTAGCAAGGTGTGTGGTGATGTGCGCCTGTTGTCCCAGCTAATTGGGAGGCTGAGGTGGGAGGATCACCTGAGCCTGGGAGTTTGAGGCTGTAGTGAGCCATGATCGTCATAGGAACAGAAGGCAGAGAAATTCTGGGAGGGCAGTTCCCCAGCCAAGGCCCCACCTTCAATCTGAAAAGCCTGATACTGCCGCCCAAAGTGAGAACTTACATCCCTGTTTTCCCATTCAAATGGTGCCTTTTCCAAAACCACCTGTGGCCTGCTCTGTCCCCCATCCCGTGCCCATAAAAACCCCAGGCTCAACTGGCAGAGAGAGGGGAGGCAGCTGGACTTCGCAGACTGTGGTTGGATATGATTGAGAAGTGGCTTGACTTCAGAGGGACAGCTTGACAGCATAGCTTTAGAGAGGAGTCCAGCTGGGGATGGCCAGACTTCAAGGGAAGATTACCTTCCTGCTCCATCCCCTTTTCAGCTCCCTTTGCCACTGAGAGCCACTTTCATTGGCAATAAAATCCCCCACATTTACCATCTTTTCATTCATGTGACCTGATTCCTCCTGGACACCAGGCAAGAACTCAGGTGCCATGAGTGTGAGTGCAAAAGGCTGTCACACTGACCCTCCACTGAGCTGTTAACACTGAAGCTGGCCATGGACGGCAAAGCTAAAAGGGCACTGTAACACTTCTTCTGGGGCTTGAGGGATTGTGGGCACTCTCCCCTAAATGCTGCTGTGGGGCCGGTATGCAGTTCGCTTTTGCCAGCACCCAAAAGCACTCACTCAGGCTTCTGCACCTACTCACTGGTGCTCCCTCTCCGAGGAGTGGAGCAGTAGTGAATGGAGTTTGCCTCTGCTGGTGCCAAAGCAGCTGGCTGGTTCTAGCACCCGTGCGCCCCGGTTTCTGCCCACAAAAGGGTCAAGGAAATATCCTGCTTCAATTGTGTGAGAAAACATTTTCACTGGTCCATTTTCAAGGCCTGATAAATCTAAGCACTGGCAGCCAGTCTGTAAATGTAACAAACCACATGGCTCATGCACCCAGAAGGTCACAATAAGCAAACAGAATGTAGAGAAGGGGTCAGTCCATAAAAGGGAAGAAAGTTTCGTTATAGGGAAATCAAAACTTAAGTGGGAGCTGGGCGCAGTGGCTCACACCTGTAATCCCAGCATCTCGGAAGGCTGAGGCAGGTGGATCACCTGAGGTCAGGAGTTCGAGACTAGCCTGGCCAACATGGTGAAACCCCATCTCTACTAAAAATACAAAAATTAGCCAGGTGTAGTGGCAAGCGCCTGCAATCCCAGCTACTCAGGAGGCTGAGGCAGGAGAATTGCTTGAACCCAGGAGGCAGAGGTTACAGTTTGCCAAGATTGTGCCATTGCACTCCAGCCGGGGTGACAGAGTGAGATTCTGTCTCAAAAGAAAAAGAAAAGAAAAGAAAAAGAAAGAAGAAACTTAAGCAGGGAAGGAGACTGGGGTATAACCTTACAAGGAGGACAATGAAACTTAGATGACATCCGGGAAGATCGTAACCCCATAGTACTCGACCAATGAAGAACTAGCGGAGGGACTTGTGTGCTAGAAGATAAATTACCTGTTGTGACTGCCCCAGTTGTGCCTGCCCACCAGACACCTGATCTTGCAAGACCGTTACTAAATGTCTCCTTTTCACTGTTCTTCAGGCCTCTAAGTCCATTCTCTGGATTTGGACAGGTGAGTGTGTTTCTCACAAGCATGGGGGCCCATCTGGGATCCATGTGCCTGTGTGAAGTGGGACTTTGGCCGAGAGGGGAGATGTGTCCCACCTGATTTAGGTGGCCCGCTCTATCTGGGCATCCCAGCTTCCCATAGAAGGCATAAACAAACCCAAGACTATTATTCAGGAGGCAGCAGAAGCAACACAGGGAGAAAAGCAGGCACTGCGGGAACCAGGCAAACTCATGCACCAGCCAAGGAAGGAAAATTGGACTGTAAGTACTGCCTTGGTCATGGGGCATTTTTGGAGGTCTCGGGGTGTGCAAGAAACCTCCAGTAAGGGGGGTTGAGTAGACAGGGAAAAACTCAGACGCAGAGACTGGCAGAAAATGGGAAACAGGAATTCTAGGCCTGGGAGCCAAAGGAAAGAGGGAGCCAAAGAGACTCCGTCTGACATTCCCCTGGATAGTCCTTTGGGGAGATTGTTGCAGGTTTGGTGGAACAACCCTCGAACCAGGGACAAGGAAAAGGAAAAGATGATAAAGTATTGCTGTTTTGTCTGGCCCAAAGACCCCATTCATAAGCCTTCTGTCTTTTGGCCTAAGTTTGGCTCAGATGAGGATTGTGTTCTAAGCTTTAATTCTCTCTGTGAATAATAAAACTTCATCCTCACAAGAAGAGATAGGTTACTCTCTGCTGAATCAAGGAATTAGCCCCCATGATCCCCCTCAAAAAAGAAGAAAAAGAGCCTGGTGAAGAGCCCTCACCCAGTGAAAAGCCCTGGGACCCCCTATCGTGCTTGCCCCTTCATACGTCTCACAAAAAAGGGGACAGGAAGATCAAGGGGCAGCAGGAGGGTTAGAGGAAGAAAGACCCAGAGACTACAGGGGAGCCAAGCCAACTGCTCCTTTAAATCCTTATCCAAATTTAAGAAAAGAATTACAAGAGTGTAAGAGGGATATTGAGAACTTCCCTATCCCTTCCACACAGCAGGCATCTAGCATGTTCCCTCTTAGGGAAGTTCCCATGGGACAGGGAGAGATTGGCTTTGTAAACACTCCTCTTGCAAGTACTGAAGTTAGGAATTGCAAGAAGGAAATGAAACCACTCCTAGAAGATCCCCTGGGTTTAGCAGACCAGCTGGACCAATTCCTAGGACCCAGCTTTTACACTTGGGCTGAAATGATGTCTATCATGAATATCCTGTTCACGGGAGAAGAAAGGGGAATGATTAGGAGAGTGGCCATGACCAGTGGGGAGAAGCAACACCCTCCTGGGCAGTGAGACTTGCCAGCCAAACAAAAATTTCCAAATGTTGATCCCGAATGGGATAATAATGATCCCAGGGACTGGGCCCAAATGCAGGACCTCAGGAAACTAGTAATTCAAGGGATCAAAGAGTACACTCCTAGGACACAAAATGTCTCAAAGGCATTTGAGATTCAACAAGAAAAAGAGAAAACTCCCTTCACATTCCTGCAGAGGCTCAGAGATGAGAAAATACTCCAGATTAGATCCGGAGGACCCAGTAGGGCAAGGCCTGTTGCAGATTAACTTTGTTACTAAAAGCTGGCTTGACATTACAAAAAAAAAAATTACAAAAGATTGATGGATGGAATGAGAAACCGATTGAGGAATTACTGAGTGAAGCTCAGAAGGTCTTTGTGAAAAGAGGGGAAGAGAAGCAGAAACAGAAAGGGAACATCATGATTTCCACTGTGGAAGAGGTAGCCAAAAAAAGATTAGCTCAAGATCCCCCTCAAATGAGACAAGGGAATGATAGATTTCGACACAGAGAAAGAAAGGAAATGCAGGGGAAACCTCCTAAGACTATGAGTGGCTAGATGTTACAAGTGTGGAAAGCCAGGGCATCTTAAGAGAGAATGTCCTCAATGGAAAAAAGAAGAAGAGATGATCCCCCTCATGACCGTTGATGAATACAATGGGGGTCAGGGCTTCCTTCTGAGTAGGTCCCACCAAGAACCCTTGATAAATTGGAAGGCGGGACCTTAGGGAGAAGAAGTGACATTTTTGGTTGACACTGGGGCAGCTCACTCCTCCCTAATCCACAAACCAAAGGGTACAGAACTCTCTAAGGAAAAACTGAAAGTATTAGGCGTAAAAGGGGAGGGATTACAGGTTCTGATATTCAAGACAATGTTAATTAGACTGGGACCAGAACACATTGAGGGGTCACTCTTATATATTCCTGAAGCAGGAACTAACCTAGTGGGTAGAGACCTGATTGTGAGATTCAGTTTAGGATTAGGGATACACAGAAAGGACAAATGAAAGTAAGGATGGGCCTCCTAACAGAGGAGGAGGGAAGAAAAATTAGTCCCGTTTTGTGGTTTGGGAAAGGCAAGCGGGGACACTTAAGAATCACAGCCTTACAGATTGGACTAAAACAACCAGGAGGAGTTTGCAGAAAACAATATCCCATTTCTGTTGAAGGGAGAAAAGATCTCCAACCAGTAATAGAGGGATTAATTAAAAATGGACTGTTAGAACCCTGCATGTCACCATATAATACTTTTTTTTTTGAGATGGAGTTTCACTCTTGTCATCCAGGCTGGAGTGCAATGGCATGATCTCAGCTCACTGCACCCTCCACCTCCCGGGTTCAAGCAATTCTTCTGCCTCAGCCTCCTGAGTAGCTGGGTGCGTGCCACCACACCCAGCAAATTTCTTTTTGTAGTTTTAGTAGAGATGGGCTTTCACCACATTGGCCAGGCTGGTCTGGAACTCCTGACCTCAGGTAATCCACCCGCCTCAGCCTCCCAAAGTACTGGGATTACACGCTTGAGCCTGTGCCTGGCCAATACTCTAATTCTTTGTGTTGCTTATCTGGGAGGGAGAGATTCTGTGTCTATTCCCAGCCATCTTTTTGCAGCTGCAGGCATCTCCCACCGCCCCCCCATCCCAGTCAGCTTTAGCTTCCCTATCTTAATGTGCCTAAAGGGAAAGGAATGTGCTTATTAAGGCCCACTGTTTATACTGGGCCCGACTGTGGGAGTGTGAAGTTTGGTGTTTACCCAGGAGACATCCCCCGCCTCCTTCTATGCTTAAGTTGTTTATCTGTAGTTTATAGCCTGAACTTTCAGGCTACCCTTTGTTAAAAGAGAAGTGATTTCTTTGAACCGCACGAGATTAGAAAGGAAGCTATTTCAAGAGTGTTAAGGGGAATTATGGAAGGTTTACAAATTTGATGGGATTATCCCACCCCTTGGCATCCTGTGGAAAGGTAAAAAGAATAAACCAAACTCTCAAAAAGCATCTCACCAAACTAAACTTAGAAACTAAAGTGCCTTGGACCAAATATCTCCCATGGCTTTAGGATTAGGATTCGGACAGTCCCCAGAAAAGACTTGGGATTGTCCCCTACAAGTTATTATATGGACTCCCATATTTGGGCAGGGCTACAGATCCTCCCACTATGGAAACCAAAAACCAATTCTTAAGAAATGATATACTGGCCATATCTTCCACCCTGTCATCCCTCAGGTTAAAAGGTCTTCTGACGCAAGCTCTGCCTCTTGAGTTCATGGTTCACTACTTCCAGCCTGGCAACTTGGTGCTGACTAAGATTTGGAAAGAAGACAAGCTCCACCCAAGCTGGGAAGGTCCCTGTCAAGTGCCTCTGCCCCTGAGACAGCCCTGCGAACAGCTGAATGGGGGTGGACTCACTACACTGGAATCAAGAGGCCGGTAAAAGAGACCTGGAAAGGGAAGGAGAAAGAACAGTGGGAAGTGCATGGGTCACCTGACGAACACTTAAAGTTAACTCTGAGAAAAATTTAGAAAGAAAGCGTGGGCTGGCTGCATTTCTGAAAGGTAATAAGGCTGGGATGGGTTAGTATACAAAGAGCAGAAGGTCAAAATGGAAACTGGCAGGGGACTCCCCACTGCTCAATCAGGTTGGTGATTAATATGATTAAGACGGTAGCACCCCAAACTATAAGATTTGATGCCTGTCAGGTTTTACCTTGTGGGAATTTAGAAAATCAGAGACAGCTCTCGCAGGCAGATAAATCTCTTTGCCTTGAACCAGATGCAGGTTGCAGTAGGGCATCACCCTTCCCCAGCTGGGAGGATGTATGGTGCGCTACCCAATTTCAGGGTTGGACAGTAAACATGGTGTGGGTAACTCCAAACTGGAAACCCTTGAAGCATAAACTACCTCTGTCCAAGCGCTCCCCACCAAATAACTGCCAGAATTTAGAATGCCATCCTATACTCATCACCCTTGACAATTCAGCCTTTCTAGACCAAGAACCAAAAGTAGCATCTCAGGTATATGGGTTAGGAGAAGACATCACAAGGAAAGACCCCCAGGTCGATTTGATCTCAGGCTAATCAAGAACTCAACCTCCCATTTGCCTGGAACTACTCCAACCCCAGACCCTAATAAACACTTTAGTCTACCAAATATTAACCCTAAAATGGTAACAATAATTGAGGTAAAGGATTTAAGGCAAACCTTAGAAATTGAGACAGGGTATAGGGATGTGAATGCCTGGGTCAAATGGGTCATATTTTCGGTACAAGCCCTCAGCAAAAGTAACTGCTACGCGTGTGCTGCAGGACCACCTCAGGCGCAGGTGGTTCCGTTTCCCCTGGGATGGAATAGTGATTCTAGAGGAATGTGTTGCATGTTGGCTGCATACCAGCACAATGATATAAGTAAGGAGAAGTAAGACTTGTAAGAGTCTTTCATTGCTGTTTCCTGCATTGCGGAGCTCAGATCCCAGAGCAATACCCTCGTTCTCTGCAGAGAACATGAACTACTCCTCTTGCCTCTCTAGACAGGGGGCAGAGTTCCATAAGCCTATGGGAGAACTCTCAACTTGTACCCACATCCTAAACGTCACTGGTGAGTTGAGCAATGGCAATTACTCAGCTCTCCATACACCCCGGGCTGATGTCTGGTAGTATTATGGGAAAAGGAACCTACGTAACCTGTTACTGTCCAATGGGACCAGGACTTGTGCTTTAGTCTCATTGGCCATTCCCTTCACCCTGGCATCCCATAAGATACCCCAAAATACACATGGCCACTGAAACCAGAGAGATTTCACAAATTCTTTTAATCCCAATGTGTATGTTGACTCAATAGGAGACCCTGGTGGGGGTAGGGTTGCCTAATAAATTGAAGGCCTGAAACGCAGTAGGTGCTGGGTTTAAAGTCAGGACACTTCTGCTGGTCAACTATTAAGAAGAATGCGAATTAAATTAACTCCATCTATTATAATCAACAGGAATTCATCAATTATACTTGGGATGCCCTCAAAGGGTGGCTAGCCAGTTAGATGCCACCAGCTAAATGGCCTGGGAAAACAGACTTGCGCTAGACATGATACTAGAGAAAAAGGGAGCGTGTGTGTTATGCTGGGCGGGAAATTTTGTACTTTCATTCCCAGCAATACTGCCCCAAATGGGACCATCACAAAAGCTTTACAAGGACTAACAACTCTAGCCAACGAACTGGAAGAAATGCTCGGAATTAATGACCCATTTACGGGTTGGCTAGAAGGCTGATTTGGAAAATGGAAAGGAATGGTAGCTTCAATCCTTATATCTCTCATAATTGTGGCAGGATTCTTAATAGCAGTGGAATGTTGTATTATCCCTTGTGTGAGGGGACTAGCACAGAAATTAATTAAAACAGCTATTAATAAACAAATGCCCATGACTTACCAGCAAAATAACCTGCCACTATTAGAAAGCAAATTAAACTCACTCTCCTATGAGGAAGAAAGTAAACAACTTCTGGAGCGATTCACGGCCCAAAAGGGTTTAAAAGAAAATGAGAACAAAATAAGTAAATAGAAAAGAGGAGGGAATTGGTGAGAAAACCTTTTAAATGGTCCATTTGCAAGGCATGATAAGTCTAAGCACTGGCAGCCAGCCTGCAAATGTAAGAAACCACATGGCTCATGCACCCAGAAGGTCACAGTAAGTGGACAGAATGTAGAGGTGTGGTCAGCTCATAAAAGGGAAGAAAGTTTTGTTATGGGGAAATCAAAACTTAAGTGGGGAAGAGGACGGGGTATAACTTTGTAAGGGGGATAATGAAAGTTAGGCGATGTCCGGGAAGATTGTAACCCCACAGTACTCAACCAGTGAGGAACTGGGGGAGGGACTTGTGTGCTAGGACATAAATTACCCGTTGTGACCGCCCTGGTTGTGCCTGCTCACCAGACACCCGATCTCGCAAGACCGTTATGAAAAGTCTCCCTTTCGCTGTTCTTTGTGCCTCTAAGTCCATTCTTTGGGTTTGGATGGGTGAGTGTGTTTCTCACAAATGCACCACTGCACCCCTGCCTAGGTGACAGAGACAGACTGTGTCTCAAAAAAATGAAAATATCAGGGAACTCAATGCAAAAGACTGCGGCGCTTTAGACTTGAGAGTAACCTGCCCATGACCCTTGGGGCTCCGTGAGGAAGACAAAAGACCCCCAAAAGGAGGGTGTATGGCACCTTTTTCTGGTTTCTCAAGGGGTCTCAGGACTGCTAGAAGTTCCCTCTTGATTTCTTCGTGTGTTATTGAAGGTGGCAGAAAGGAAGAAGGGCCAACAGTAAATGGGAAAACAATTCTTAGAGGGCTCAATTTGGGAAGATTTTAAACTTCCCAAAAAGGCCAAGGATGTTTTACATTTTTCTCAGTAAAAATCATGCCGACAACAACAACAACAAAAAAGTGAACAGATGGAAGGAACATAAAATTGCTTTTTAACAAAATTTCAGTTGACTGAAAAGAATTCCCAGGGTAGGAACAGGATCCAAAGAGAAAAAGCATTGCTCTATATATCTGCCAGGGAAAAATCCCCCAAAAACTAAAAGAAAAAAGAAAAAGCAGAAGGGTGTGTTGAAAATACACAAGCAGCAAGCTTTCTGTTTCATGAGCACGTGGCCTAACACTGGAGTGGAAAGAATTTCGGCTGTGGAGCGCTCCCACCCGCTCTGCTCATGGGAGGAGCCCTGCCTCTCTTCAGCTTCCCAGCAGTGGTGGGAGACACACGTCTCTTCTGCCCACGGGAGGAAGCGAGACAAAAGAAAAAAGTTGCTATCACACTCTAAATACAAACCAGTTTTCTATCAAAGGTATACCTGAACAAATGACTCAACGCCAAGTGAAATAAGCACCAAGGAGACCAGAACCAAGAAGCCTTTCACGGCTTTCACCAAGGTCTCCAGAGAGGAGGCAAAAGTTGCAACCCTGCTCAGATCCAGACCACTCCAGGCAGCTCAAATAAAGGAGAATTTTAGTAGCTGCAAATGGGGCTACTGTCTGGCCATATTATCTAGGGTTTCAGCCTCTCAGCTGGCTGACTGCACACAAAGGCCTGACAACCCGTATCTCCCACAGACGGAAGATTGCATGGCAGTTTGTAAGATGGGAAGTCAAAAGCTGTCTGTGGGAATAGACAGGATTGCAAAGTGAAAGGGTACCCCAAAAGGTCAGAGTTATGCAAATACCAAACTAACTTTTTACAAATGTTTCTATTTGTTTTGTCCTGAGTTAAAAGATTTGCATTTCCAAGAGTCTGGTTTCCTGACTGGGAATCAAATCCAGGCTGTGGTGGTGAAAGCATGGAACCCAGGCCCTAGATTAGGGTGGCCCGTCTTCTTTGTAAATCCCAGGGGGATCCAAAACAGGCAGCTTGGGCGCACTATATATATATATATATATATATATATATATATATATATATATATATGTGACATATATATTATATATGTGACATATATATTATATATGTGATATATATATTATATATGTGACATATATATTATATGTGATATATATTATACATATATAACATATACATGTTAGAAATATATATTTTTTATATCATATATATATATTTGTTTGAGACAAAGTCTCGTTCTGTCACCCAGGCTGGCGTGCAGTGTGGTGTGCTCATGGTTTACTGCAGCCTCAACCTCCTAGGCTCAAGCAGTCCTCCTGCCTACCCCTGGCTGAGTAGCTGGGACCACAGGCGTGTGTCACGATGCCTGACTCATTTATTTGTTTATTTATTTTGTAGAGATGGGATCTCCCTATGTTGCCCAGTCTGTTCTCAAACTCCTAGGCTCAAGCAAGCCTTCCTTGACCTCCCGAAGTGTTGGGATTACAGGCATAAATCAGTGAATCCAGCTACACAAAGGATTTATAACTTAGTTGTAAATCTGATTTCTGCCTTAAAAAAAGAAATCCTGCTAAGGGAGTTTCTAAGGCTATATATTCCTTTTGTGTCTTTTCATAGGTACCAATAAGAAAGCTGTTTAAGACAAGAGCTCTTAGTGGCCGGGCGCGGTGGCTCACATCTGTAATCCCAGCACTTTGGGAGGCTGAGGCAGATGGATCACCTGAGGTCAGCAGTTCGAGGCCAGCTAGCCAAGATGGTGAAACCCTGTCTCCACTAAAAATACAAAAAAAAAAAAAAAAAAATTACCTGGGCATAGTGGTGCGCACCTGTAATCTCAGCCACTGGGGAGGCTGAGGCAGGAGAATTGCTTGAACCCGGGAGGCTGAAGTTGCAGTGAGCAGAGATTGCGCCACTGCAGTCCAGCCTGGGCGACAGAGTGAGACCTTGTCTCAAAAAAAAAAAAAAAAGAGACAAGAGCTCTCTAAAAAGTTTTCTTTTAAAATATAACTTTTTAACTTATTTATTATGTTTTTTCAAAATTTCAACTTTTATTTTAGATTCAGGGGATACATGTGTGGATTTGTTACATGGGTATATTGCATGATGCTGAGGTTTGGGGTGCAAAGCATCCTTTCACCCAGGTAGTGAGGATAGTACCCGATAGGTACTTTTTCAACTCTTGTCCCCCTCTCCCTCCACCTCTCCCCTTCTCCTCTCCCCCTCTCTCTCTCTCCCCTTCTCCTCTCCCCCTCTCTCACTCTCCCCTTCTCCTCTCCCCTCTCTCACTCTCCCCTTCTCCTCTCCCCTCTCTCACTCTCCCCTTCTCCTCTCCCCCTCTCTCTCTCTCCCCTTCTCCTCTCCCCCTCTCTCACTCTCCCCTTCTCCTCTCCCCTCTCTCACTCTCCTACTTTCCTACTCTCCCTGCTCTAGCAGGTCCCAGTGACTATTGTTTCCATCTTTATGTCCATGTGTATCCAACGTTTAGCTTCCGCTTATAAGTGAGAATGTGGCCGGGTGCGGTGGCTCACGCCTGTAATCCCAGCACTTTGGGAGGCAAAGGCAGGCGGATCACCTGAGATTGGGAGTTCAAGACCAGCCTGACCAACATGGAGAAACCTTGTCTCTACTAAAAATACAAAACTAGCCAGGCGTAGTGGCGCATGCCTGTAGTCCCAGCTAGTTGGGAGGCTGAGGCAGGAGAATCACTTGAACCTGGGAGGCCGAGGTTGCAGTGAGCCGAGATCACACCATTGTACTCCAGCCTGGGTAACAAGAGTGAAACTCCGTCTCAAAAAAAAGAAAAAAAATGTGAGAACATGCAGTATTTGATTTTCTGTTTCTGCGTTAGTTCACTTAAGATAATGGCCTCCAGCTGCATCCACATTGCTGCAAAGAACACAGTTTTGTTGCTTTTTATGGCTGTGTCGTATTCCGTAGTGTATACGTACCACATTTTATCCAATCCACTGTTGATGGGCACCTAGGTTGATTCCAGCCAATTTATTTATTCCATAAGTGACTCAAACCAATAATCATTTTTTTATGGAAAGTTCTGGAGGTAGCTTTCCAGGTTTAGAAGAGCATAGGTGTTTGTGGTGTATTTAAAATGAATGGGCCGGGTGCGGTGGCTCACGCCTGTAATCCCAGCAATTTGGGAGGCCGAAGCAGGCGGATCACAAGGTCAGGAGATCGAGACCATATTGGCTAACATGGTGAAACCCCATCTCTACTAAAAGTACAAAAAATCAGCTGGGCATGGTGGCAGGCGCCTGTAGTCCCAGCTACTCGGGAGGCTGAGGCAGGAGAATGGCGTGAACCCAGGAGGCGGAGTTTACAGTGAGCCGAGATCATGCCACTGCACTCCAGCCTGGGAGACAGAGCGAGACTCTATCTCAAAAAATAAAATAAAATAAATAAAATAAAATGAGTGCAGAAGATGCACCCCCTCCTATGATCCTTCCCAAAAAACACATTCTCAGAAATAGGCTAAGATAGCCGGGCCTGGTGGCTCACACCTGTATCCTAGCACTTTGGGAGGCTGAGGCAGGTAGGTCACCTGAGGTCAGGAGTTCAAGACCAGCCTGGCCAACATGGTGAAACCCCATCTCTACTGAAAATAACAAAAAATTAGCCAGATGTGGTGGCGCATGCCTGTAATCCCAGCTACTTAGGAGATTGAGGCAGGAGAATCACTTGAACCTGGGAGGCAGAGGTTGCAGTGAGCCGAGATCATGCCACTGCACTCCAGCCTGGTGACAGAGCGAGACTCTGTCTCAAAAAAGAAATAGGCTAAGCTAGCAAGAGGCTTGCTGCCATAGACAGCTAAGGATGGTGTTTACTCATGGGGTGCCTTAAGTATCCCACAAATTTGTGAGAGGCTGCCAGCCACAGACCTGTTAATCTGTGATAACTCCTGTGATTGGACTTTCCCAGGACTAACAGGGACAAACAAGCATTGCCATGACAAAAGTCCCTTATGTATGGGACTTAATACAAATGACCTTGAGTGCTCGGCACATTCAGAGCAGAGTGTGCTGCTTAGTATCTTACTTGTCAGGGGGTTCCCAGTCTTTTTAGACTGGTGATGTGGTTTGGCTGTGCCCCCACCCAAATCTCCACTTGAATTGTATCCCCCAGATTTCCCACGTATTGTGGGAGGGACCCAGGGGGAGGTAATTGAATCATAGGGGGCTGGTCTTTCCCATGCTATTCTCATGATAGTGAATAAGTCTCATGGGATCTGATGGGTTTATCAGGGGTTTCTGCTTCTGTTTCTTCCTCATTTTCTCTTGCCGCCGCCATGGAAGACATGCCTTTCGCCCTCCGCCATGATTCTGAGGCCTCCCCAACCATGCGGAACTGTAAGTCCTATTAAATCTCTTTTTCTTCTCAGTCTCGGGTATGTCTTTGTAAGCAGCATGAAAACAGACTAATATAGTAAATTGGTACCAGTAGAGGGGGGCATTGCTGAAAAGATGCCTGAAAATGTGGAAGCAACTTTGGAACTGGGTAACAGGCAGAGGTTGGAGGGCTCAGAAGAAGCAGGAAAATGTGGGAAAGTTTGGAACTACCTAGAGACTTGTTGAATGGCTTTGACGAAAGTACTGATAGTGATATGAACAATAAGGTCTAGGCTGATGTGGTCTCAGATGGAGATGAGGAACTTGTTGGGAACTGGCTGTTGCCCAGACTGGAGTGCAGTGGTGCCATCTCGGCTCACTGCAACCTCCGCCTCCTAAGTTCAAGCAATTCTCCTGCCTCTGCCTCCCGAGTACCTGGGATTACAGGTGTGCGCCACCATTCCCCGCTAATTTTTCTATTTTTAGTAGAGACTGTGTTTTGCCATGTTAGCCAGGCTGTTTTCAAACTCCTGACCTCAGGTGATCCACCCACGTTGGCCTCCCAAAGTGCAGGGATTACAGGCGTGAGCCACCGAGTCTGGCTGACTCTTGTTATGTTTTAGCAAAGAGAATGAAGGCACTTTGCCCCTGCCCTAGAGATTTGTGGAACTTTGAACTTGAGAGAGATGGTTTAGGGTATCTGATGGAAAAAATTTCTAAGCAGCAAAGCATTCCAGAGGTGACTTGGGTGCTGCTAAAAGCCTTCAGTTTTAAAAGGGAAACAGAGCATGAAAGTTTGGAAAATTCGTGGCCTGACAATGTAAGAGAAAAGAAAAACCCATTTTCTGGGGAGAAATTCAAGCTGGCTACAGAAATTTGCAAGTAAGTAGCAAGGAGCCTAATGTTAATCCCCAAGACCATGGGGAAAATGTCTCCAGGCCATGTCAGAGACCTTTATGGCAGCCCCTCCCATCACAGGCCTGGAGGCCCAGAGGAAAAAGTGGTTTTGTGGGCTAGGCCCAGTGTCTCCAGGCTGTGTGCAGCCTGGGGACTTGGTGCCCTGTGTCCCAGCTGAAAGAGACCAATGTACAGCTCAGGCTGTGGCTTCAGAGGGTAGAAGAGGGTGGAAGCCCCAAGCTTTGGCAGCTTCCATGTGGTGTTGAGCCTGTGGGTGCACAGAAGTCAAGAATTGAGGTTTGAGAACCTCTGCCTAGATTTCAAAGGGCATATGGAAATGCCTGGATGCCCAGGCAGAAGTTTGCTGCAGGGGTGGGGCCCCGATGGAGAACCTATGCTAGGGCAATGCAGAAGGGAAATGTGGGGTGGGAGCCCCCACACAGAGTCCCTACTGGGGCACCACCTAGTGAAGCTGTGAGAAAAGGGCTACCATCCTCCAGACCTCAGAATGCTAGATCCACCAACACCTTCCACCATGCACCTGGAAAAGCTGCAGACACTCAACACCATCCTATGAAAGCAGCCGGGAGGGAGGCTGTATCCTGCAAAGCCACAGAGGCAGAGCTGCCCAAGACCATGGGAACCCACCACTTGCAGTAGTGTGACCTGGATGTGAGACCTGGAGTCAAAGGAGATCATTTTGGGAGCTTTAAAATTTGACTGCCTTGCTGGATTTCAGACTTGAATGGGCCCTGTAACCCCTTTGTTTTGGCCAATTTCCCCCATTTGGAACGGCTGTATTCACCCAATACCAGTACCCCCATTGTATCTAGGAAGTAACCAGTTGACTTTTGATTTTACAGGCTCATAGGTGGAAGGGACTTTCCTTTTCTCAGATGAGGCTTTGGACTATGGACTTTTGGGTTAATGCTGAAATGAGTTAAGACTTTGGGGGACTGTTGGGAAGGCATGATTGGTTTTGAAATGTGAGGACATGAGATTTGGAGCCACCAGGGGTGGAATGATATGGTTTTGCCATGCCTCTACCCAAATCTTAACTTGAATTGTACCTCTCAGATTTCCCACATGTTGTGGGAGGGACCCAAGGGGAAGTAATTGAATCACGGGGGCTGGTCTTTTCAATGCTATTCTCGTGATAGTGAATAAGTCTCACAAGATCTGATGGATTTATCAGGGGTTTCTACTTT
This sequence comes from Homo sapiens, assembly GCF_000001405.40. Classification (NCBI taxonomy): domain Eukaryota; kingdom Metazoa; phylum Chordata; class Mammalia; order Primates; family Hominidae; genus Homo; species Homo sapiens. The sequence goes on from NC_000001.11 coordinate 247,367,368, forward strand.
TGCTTCTTCCTCATTTTCTCTTGCTGCTGCCATGTAAGAAGTGGCTTTTGCCCTTTGCCATGATTCTGAGGCTTCCCCAGCCCATGTGGAACTGTAAGTCCAATTAAACCTCTTTTTCTTCCCAGTCTTGGGTATGTCTTTGTAAGCAGAGTGAAAATGGACTAATACAACTGACCAACACACATGACCCAAAAGTCCCAAAAGTCATGCCACTCCCCCAACCACTCCCCGGGTTGGTAGAGACCAAGCAAGAGTGCTCCCCACTTGGTCACAAGTCAGGCTCTTGAGAGCCTGACATAAAAGATATTAAGCAAGATGAGAGGGAATCTTTATGACAGCAAGACAGAGACACAGGAAAAAAAAGAATGTTTCTGAAAGGAAAAAGATCAGACAACATGAAATAGTCATACCAAAAATAAACCAGCGTTTGTGTGTCTAAAATTAGCCTGTATAAATGCTTTTCTTGGCTGGGTGCAGTGGCTCACCCTGTAATTCCAGTACTTTGGGAGGCCAAGGCAGGAGGATTCCTTGAGTCCAGATGTCAGATATATTTGAACAAGAGGGACTCCATCTTGAAGATGGGCTGGGTAAAAAAAAGCTGAGAACTGCTGGGCTCCCAGGAGCTTAGGCATTCTTAGTCACAGGATGAGTTAGGAGGTCAGCACAAGATACAGGTCACAACAACCCCACTGATAAAGCAGGATGTGGTAAAGAAGCCGGCCAAAACCCACCAGAACCAGGATGCTGATGAAAGTGACCTCTGGTAATCCTCACTGCTCATTATGTGATACTTATTATAAGGCATTAGCGTGTTAAAAGACACTCCCACCAGCACCACCACAGTTTACAAATACCATGGCAACATCCAGAAGTTACCCTATATGGTCTGAAAGTGGGGAGGAACCCTCAGTTCCTGGAAATCCAGTCCTCTTTCCCGGAAAACTCATGAATAATTCACCCCTTGTTTAGCATACAATCAAGAAATAACTGTAGGTATACTCGGTTGAGCAGCTCACACCACGGCTGTACCTATGCAGTAGCCATTCTTTTGTTTCTTTTACTTCCCTAATAAACTTGCTTTTACTTTACTCTATGGACTCGCCCTGTATTCTTTCTTGTGGGAGGTCCAGTAACCCTCTCTTGGGGTCTAGATTGGGACCCCTTTCCAGTAACACAGGAGTTTGAGGCCAGCCTCAACAACTGAGACTCCATCTCTACAAAAAAATCAAAAAGTTAGCAGGGAATGGTGGAGTGCACCTATGGTCCCAGCTACACAGGAAGCTGAGGCAGGAGGATCCCTCGAGTCCAGGAGGTTAAGTCTGCAGTGAGCCATGACTGTCCCGCTGCACTCCAGCCTGGGCAACAGAGCTGATTCTAAATAAATAAATAAATTCTTTCTTTCCATTTATCTTAAATTTGGAAAAGGAAAAGGAAACAGTTTTACTGTCTGCTTGATTGGATTGCACAGACAGATGCTGTTTGAAATGTTTCTTCCTTGGTGCGGTAAAGAAATAGCACTTGAACATGAATTTAATTTATTTAGTAAGGCCATTTTTACTTCTTGCAGAAAGGGTACACTCATCAGCAGTTTTGCCATGAGAGTGCATTGAACAAAGGAGACAGGGTCATTTATAACCTGACGCGTCCTCCCTACTGCTGTGTCTGGTTTCCACTGGCTGGAGCGGGACCTCACATTCTGTATTTGTCTCGATTGGCTAGCAACTTAGAACTTTTTAAAAGAGGCAAAGGTAGAGGGGAACAAAGGAAAGAGGAAGTAACTGGTGGAATGCTGAGAAAGGTAAAAACACCTTCAAATAAGGAAGAGGAACAGGCTGTGACCTAATGCTTACTTGGACCAGTATAAGCATGCCAGGGCAGATATTTAGGCTAAATTGTGGGAGCTAAGAACATAAAGAACATTGATTTCTTTATTACGGCTAGCAGATATTTAAGAATGTTAGCACAGGTCTTTGAATAAATTTTGCTTCTAATAGAAGTTACTATTTATTCCTAATTAGATGGGGAGGAAAGTCTTTGAAGAGGAACCTCTACTTTACTTTTTACAGATGCCAAGAATCTAACTACTCCCAAATTCTTCCCCTTCTGCTGGCCTGTCAGGCCCCAGGTTCCTTGGACTCCTGGCTTCAGAAGAGCTAAACAGTTTTGGTGATCCTGCTCACAGCGCCAAATCTGTAGGGGCCAAGAGAAAGCTGCTTCACTCTCTGAAGTTTTGCTGCAAAATCAACTGACAATAGGCAGATTAACAGGGAGATAAGCATACAAAATTTTATTTTAACTCACATAGCATGGGTAATTGTAGGAGAATGATTACTGTGCCACTGGCTTTTTTTTTTTTTTTTTAAGACGGAGTCTCCCTTTGTCGCCAGGCTAGAGTGCAGTGGCGCGATCTCCACTCACTGCAACCTCCGACTCCCTGGTTCAAGTGATTCTCCTGCCTCAGCCTTCTGAGTAGCTGGGACTGCAGGCATGCGCCATTACGCCCAGCTAATTTTTGTATTTTTAGTAGAGACGGGGTTTCACCATGTTGGCCAGGATGGTCTCCATCTCCTGATCTCGTGATCCTTCTGCCTGGACCTCCCAAAGTGCTGGGATTACAGGTGTGAGCCACCGTACCTGGCCCAGTATCTCTTTTGTTACTTGGTTATTTCACTTGGCATAGTGTCCTCAAGATTTATCCCTATTGTCCATATAACAAAATTTTGAATTTTTTTTTTTTGAGACAGAGTCTGGCTCTGTCGCCCAGGCTGGAGTGCAGTGGTGCGATCTCGGCTCACTGCAAGCTCCGCCTCCCGGGTTCACGACATTCTCCTGCCTCAACCTCTGAGTACCTGGGACTACAGGCGCCCGCCACCACGCCCGGCTAATTTTTTGTATTTTTAGTAGAGACGGGGTTTCACCGTGTTAGCCAGGATGGTCTCGATCTCCTGACCTTGTGATCCACCCGCCTTGGGCTCCCAAAGTGCTGGGATTATAGGTGTGAGCCACCGCGCCTGGCCAATTTCGTCTTTTAAAAGCTGAATGAGTATTCAGTTATTTGTGTTTTTCAAATTGTCCTTATCCGTTTTTTCATCGAGGGAGTTTGGTTGCCCCCACTGTATTTTAATGCAAAACAAAAGGAAAATTTCCCAGGTTGAGAGGAGCAGTAAAGCCTGAAGTATCACTCTCTGCCCAGACCTCAGTGGTGGGCTTGCTTTGAGCATTCTTAGGCAGCCCCACTTCCCTTAGGCACTTCCCTTCCCTTTGTTGATTAAAGAAGAAACTGAGGCAAAATTAATATAAGTGGAGTTTATTTGGGCCAAGTTTGAGGACTGTAAGCCGGGAGAGATAGATTCAAGTTGCTCTGAATATATCCTCCAATTAGCAGCAGTTGCAAGTGAGTTTTTAAAGGATGAAAGAGGCAGTTCCTCAGCTGTTTATAAAAAATTTACATTAAAATAACATAAGCTATTGGTTAGCTATACATTTTTCTTTGTATCACAAACGCTAGCAACATGGAGATAATAGGTGATGCAGCTAGTCAGGAACAAAATGCCTTTAAACAACTGCCCCCGCCTTGCCCCCGCCCCCCCATACTGCTGTCTCTCTGAGCCTGATAAATTTTGTATGCCTCCCGGGGAATTGTTTGAACCCGGGAGGCAGGGGCTGCAGAGAGCCTCGATTACATCACTGCGCTCCAGCCTAGGTCACAGAGCAAGACTCTGTCTCAAAATAAATAAATAAATAAATGTTGTATGCCTTACATAACTCAGAATGTTCTCAGCTACTCTCTCTTCTCACCTCCAGGAATGGGAAAGTGAAGATGCACTCCCAGTGGAGGAGGGTTTATTATGGCTCCAAGCACAGTGTCTGCTCTTACTACTCATTAGCAGTCGTGTAGCCTATTCTAAAATTAAAGTGTCTCGAGTGGGACAAATCCTGAAAAGAATGTTTTTTACAAGTAATGTGCTGCTACTGGGGATTCTGGGGTGATCCATCCTGGGACAGTCATCCTCTGCACCCTGTCTGGCCTGGGGCCAAGGAGTGATCTTGAGCAGTCACTGCAGTGGCTAACCCTGGAATCTAAGGCCTGCCCAGAATGCACATCCAGAAGCCCTAGAATGCGGGGGAAAAAGCCGTATTTGCACATCCAGAAGCCCTAGAATGCGGGGGGAAAAGCCGTATTTGCACATCCAGAAGCCCTAGAATGTGGGCGACAAAACCGTATTTGTGCTTCTGTTACTGGAAAGGGGTCCCAATCCAGACCCTAAGAGAGGGTTTTTGGATCTCGCACAAGAAAGAATTAGGGTGACTCTGTAAAGTGAAAGCAAGTTTATCAAGAAAGTAAAGGAATAAAGATTGGCTTCTCCACAGACAGAGCAGCCCCAAGGGCTGCTGCCTGCCCATTTTGATGATTATTTCTTGATGATATGCTAAACGAGGGGTGGATTATTCATGTCTCCCCTTTTTGGACCATACCGGGTGACTTCCTGAGGTTGCCATGGCGTTTGTAAACTGTCATGGCGCTGGCGGGAGTGTAGCAAGGAGGACAACCAGAGGTCACTCTCGTGGCCATCTTGGTTTTGGTAGGATTTGTCCGGCTTTTTTACTGCAACCTGTTTTATTAGCAAGGTCTTTATGACCTGTATCGTGTGCCTACCCCCTATCTCATCCTGTGACTTAGAAAGCCTTAACTGTCTGGGAGTGCAGCCTTCCAGGTCTCAGCCTCAATTTACCCAGCCCATGTTCAAGATGGAATTGCTCTGGTTCCAATGCCTGTCACAATTCTGCGGTATTCCAGCCGTGCAGGTGCTGCGGAGACGTGGCGTCCATTCCCGGGACTAGTGGGAACACGCACATGCACATTTAGTAAAGGGTGACCGTGGAGAGGCACAGGCCCTGTTTTTTTTTTGTTTGTTTTTTGAGACACGGTCTCGCTTAGTTGCCCAGGCTGGGGTGCAGTGGCGCGATCTTGGCTCACTGTAACCCCCACCTCCTGGGTTCAAGCGATTCGCATGTTCCTGGCCTCGTGTGATCCACCCGCCTTGGCCTCCCAAAGTACTGAGATCGCAGGCCTGAGCCTGTGATCCGGTCGCTCCTGTCGTTTTGTTTGTTTGTTTGTTGTTGTTTGTTCGTTTTTGTCGCCCAGAGCTGGAGTACAATGGCACAATCTCAGCTGACTGCAACCTCCGCCTCCCGGCTTCAAGCAGTGCTCCTGCCTCAGCCTCCCGAGTAGCTGGGATTACAGGCGCGCGCCACCACACCCGGCTAATTTTTGTATTTTTAGTAGAGACGGGGTTTTACCATGTTGGCCAGGCTGGTCTCAAACTCCTAACCTCGTGATCCGCCCGCCTCGGCCTCCCAAAGTGCTGGGATTACAGGCGTGAGCCGCTGCGCTCAGCCCACTATGGTCGTTCTTAAAACAAATTGCAAGGTCATGCGTTTTCCTCCCAGAAGAGTGATAGACCCATCCCTGGCACTGCCAAATTTAGCTGGAGCTGAATTGTTCCGCAAGTTGTACTTGGCTGTGACCACCAGAGGGCGCCGAGGACAGTACGGACGCCGTCAGCGTCTCGGTCACATCCTTCCGTGTCCAGCTAGAAAATGAATGGGAAACCCGGGCACTGAGGCTCACGCCTGTAATCCAGCACTGCAGGGGGCGAGGCGGGCGGGTCACTCGAATTTAGGAGTTTGAGACCAGCCTGGGCAACATGGTGAAGCCCCATCTCTACTGACAGTACAAAAAAAATATGCCGGGCGCGGTGGCTCACGCCTGTAATCCCAGCCTAGGCGGGCGAATCACCTGAGGTCAGGAGTTCGAGACCAGCCTGGCCAAAATGGTGAAACCCTGTCTCTACTAAAAATACAAAAATTAGGCCGGGCGTGGTGGCTCACGCCTATAATCCCAGTACTTTGGGAGGCCGAGGTGGGCGGATCACGAGGTCAGGAGTTCAAGACCAGCCTGACCCACATGGTGAAACCCCATCTCTACTAAAAATACAAAAAAAATTAGCCGGGTGTGGTGGCATGTGCCTGTAATCGCAGCTACTCAGGAGGCTGAGGCAGGAGAATCGCTTGAACCCAGGAGGCGGAGGTTGCAGTGAGCTGAGATAGTGCCATTGCACTCCAGCCTGGGCGACATAGCGAGACTCCATCTCAAAAAAAAAAAAAAAAAAAAAAAAAAAAAATATATATATATATATATTTAGCCGGGCGTGGTGGCGCGCGCCTGTAATCCCAGCTACTCCCGAAGCTGAGGCAGGAGAATCGCTTGAGCCCGGGGGCGAAGGTTGCAGTGAGCCGAGATCGCGCCACTGCACTCCAGCCTGGGCAACCGGGTGAGACTCCGTCTCAAAGAAAAAAAAAAAAAAGAAAAAATGAAACGAATCGGGGCGTGTTACATCTCGAAGCCTGGCTTCTTTAACAGCTTCCCCAGCGCCCCAGTCTATGTTACTGGGAGTGTGAAAGCGACCAGCCCTGCAGAGGCTTCCCCGCGCCCCGCGCCCCGCGCCCCTCGCCAACCCCCGGTGCGAGCCCAGGGCACCGAGCCCCGCAGCCGCTCAGGCCCACCCGGTGCCTGCAGCCAGCGCACACTGGGTGCTGGGACCAGCACTGAGCGCCTTTTCTGTTTTTTCTTACAAGGTTGGGTTTCAGCCGAGCAAGTCTGAGGCCCCTTTCCCGCGCCCTCTGGTGGAAAGTGTTCGCTTTTCTGTCCACCCATGTGAAGGATTCACCCCGACCCTCCTCAGGTGGCCTTTACTTTGCAGGAGCAAAGCAAGGTACGGGACATTGTTCCCTCTTTTCTGTTTCTGCCTTTTCTTTCTCCTCTGCCCCCTCCCCGCCTCCGTATTCCTCCCTCTTCCTCATTATTTCTTCTTCCTTCTTCCTATTGAATTTGGGATTGAAAAGTTTGAAGCTCCTAAAGGAGGCCAGCCAGCTGGTTGGCCTCCGTCTTGCTGACTTTGGGCAGTATCATGGCTTTGTTTAGAGTTGGTTGTGAGAAGGAAATAAACCATAACACTTCGGTACATGTGTGTTATTTGTTGATACACAGGCGCACACACACAAATGTGAATGGGCGCTTATATATCATTATTTCCCTCTCGATATATCTTTATCTATATTTAGATATTTTGGAGGCATACCTTTTATCCAGGATGGCTCTGTTCGCAGAGGGTTGAACTGTGGACGAGGCATCTCGGTTTTTTGCTTTTGCAGTTTACATTGTGTGTGGTGGGGTACATGTCTGTATTATCTGCACAAAAATTAAAACAATTTTTAAAAAATTTCAGTTGGATGAGGAGATACATGTATGTGGCACACAGCTTTCTTCACTTAGCAACACGTCAGATGCAGCGTAGATGTGCGGATGAAACCACCATTGCAAAATTATCACTGAGACAGTCAGAGAAACCTGACATGGCTGACTCCATGTTGCTTTTAGCCTCACAGGCTGGCTCTCTTAGCTCATTCCTAAGCATGGGCCTGAAACTGCCATTGCAAAATCGTAACTGAGACAGCAAAAGAGACTTGACCTAACCAACTCCATCTTGCTTCTAACCTCCAAGCTGTCCTTGTTCATTCCTGGGTGTAGGCTGAACTAACTTTGGGAGGAACTTAATTTATAGTTTAAAACAAAGACGATAAGACGATAACAGCCCTTTCTCAAAACAAACATCCTTCCTGACTGGGGACTAGACTGCCTTTGTAGGATTAACAAATTAGCCACAAGATCAGAAATTATAGTTTAGGAGTCATGCAGCTGGAGGCTCTAAGATTGTGACCCTCCCTAAACCGCTCAGTGCTTGAGATGTTTTACAGACCCTGCACTTAATGGATCAGCTGGCACCACCCAGATGGATAAACTGGCTCATGTGATCTTGTGGCCCCCACCCAGGAACTGACTCAGTGCAAGAAGACAACTTCAATTCCCTATGATTTAATGTCCTACCGAATCAATCAGCACTCCTGACACACTGGCTTCCCCTCACCCACCAAATTGTCCTTAAAACCTCTGATCTCCAAATGCTTGAGGAGACTGATTTGAGTAATAATAAAACAAGGCTCCTGCACAGCCGGCTCTGCGCGAATTACTCTTTCTCTACTGCAGTTCTCCTGTCATGATAAATCGGCTCCATCTAGGCAGCCAGCAAGGTGAACCCACTGGGTGGTTACAGGCCACGCTAAGTTCGGGAGAAATTTAGTTTATGGTTTAAATGATAACAGCCCTTCCCCAAAACTAAACTGCCCTGGTAAAACTAATGAAAGGCCGCCAAGTTAGGAGGATGACAGGGGCCTGAATTCTACTGAGCCGTAAGCGTAATTACCGGCCATTATTCCAGAGGACACAAGATTTGCAACTTGCCTAATTACTCCTGCAAAGAACATCGCTACTGTAGCACCTGAGAATGGCCTTTTGAGATGTGTTTTCAGGCTTTTGCACTTCTGACAACTGATGGCTGCACTTGGACTCGCCAGCCGGTCCCGCGTCCCCACCAGAAGCAGAGTAAGCACAAGAGGACAGCTCCGACTCCCTAGGATTTCAGCTCTGACCAGTCGCACGCCTGGCTCACTGGCTTCCCCACACCCACCAAGTTGTTCTTAAAAACTCTGCTGCCCGAATGCTCAGGGAGAGTGATTTGAGTAATAATGAAACTGTTGTCTCCTGCACAGTCGGCTCTGCGTGAATTACTCTTTCTCTATTGCAATTCCGCTCTCTTGAGAAATCGGCTCTGTCCAGGCAGCAGCAAGGTGAAGCCACTGGGCGGTTACACTGATATGATTCCCCCTTTGCAGTTTTTACTCTCTTGGTGCTGCAAACAGTTCCTCACTGAGGACCCTTGTACACGTATCACTGTGAGCATGAATCCGAATTTCTTTAGGAGACATACATACTAGTGGGTATGTGCATGTTATGTAATTTCTCTTAGCACTGTTTCCTCACTCATCAAATAAGGATCAAGTAGTTCTCACCACACAGGGTTATTTTAGAAATAATTTAGTATACATAATATACAATGCAATAACAAGTACTGATGTCTACTTCTTTTAGGTTATATGATAATACCTTATACATAGTACATGTGTGATTATATATATTGCAATGTAGAGTACGATCTATAATTTACAGAACTGTTGTTTATATATAACAAATGCTGTCCTTGCGATAGTTTGCTCAGAATGATGGTTTATGTATACATATGTAACAAACCTGCACGTTGTGCACACGTACCCTAGAACTTAAAGTATAATTTTAAAAAATGCTATAATTCATGTGGTGATTATTATCTACCAGTTACATCATCGATAGAATGAGGACGTTGTTAACGGTACACGCCAGACAGGATGGCTGTGAGGATCTGTGATAATAAGAATTAGATATTTGGTCTTTGTCCCTGTTTCCTGATGGAGGCTTCTAAACCCCTTGGAATTCCCTGACTGATAGGGGCAAGAGGAAATCTTTTGTTATTCCTAACGAGCCCCTTTCATCCATGCCTGTGTTTATGCTAATGAGGTGACTCCTGGAGGATGAGGGCTGGTTGCCAGGGGAATCAACTTTGCCTTGCAACTTTCAGCTCCAGTCCGTGACTTCCAGGGAAAGAACAGGGGCTGGAGATTGAGTTTAATCGCCAATGACCAGTGATTTGATCATTCATGCTTAAATAATGGAACCATAAGAAACCTAAAGAAAAGGTTTGGAGAGCTGCTGGGTTCAGGAGCACATTCGTGTGCTGGGAGGGTGTTGTGCCTGGTGAAGGTGTGGAAGCGCTGACTCTGCCTCGCATACCTTGTCCTGTCTGTGTCTTTCATCTGGCTGTTGCTGAGTTGTGCTGTTTATAATAATAAACTGGTAACAGGAAGTAAAGCACTTTCCTGAGTTTTGTGAGCCCATTCTCTTGATTTACCAAACCTGAGATAGAGGGATTGTGTGTGGGAACCCTTGAATTTATAGCTGGTCAGTCAAAAGTGCTGGTTAACAAACCTGGAACTTCCATGAAGTGGGGGCAGTTTTGTGGGACCAAGCCCATAACCTGTGGGATTTCACTCTAGCTCCAGGTAGACATGTCAGAATTGAATTGTAGGATACCTAGTTGGTGCCTGCTGTGTAGAAGAAAAAAACCCACAGGTTTGGTGTCAGATGTGTTGTGAGTAAAACTGTTACAGGAAAGCGGTCTCTGTCCAGACCCCAAGTGAGGGTTATTGGATCTCGCGCAAGAAATAATTCAGGGTGAGTCCATAGAGTAAAGTGAAAGCAAGTTTTTTAGGAAAGTAAAGGAACAAAAGAATGGCTACTCCATAGACAGAGCAGCCCTGAGGGCTGTGGGTTGCCCATTTTTACGGTTATTTCTTGATTATATGCTAAACAAGGGGTGGATTATTCATGCCTCCCCTTTTTAGACCATATAGGGTAACTTCCTGACATTGCCATGGCATTTGTAAACTGTCATGGTGCCGGCGGGAGTGTAGCAGTGAGGACGACCAGAGGTCACTCTCATAGCCATCTTGGGTTTAGTGGGATTTGGCCGGCTCCTTTACTGCAAACTGTTTTATCAGCAAGGTCTTTATGACCTGTATCTTGTGCCGACCTCCTATCTCATCCTGTGACTTAGAATGCCTTAACCATCTAGGAATGCAGCCAAGTAGGCCTCAGCCTCATTTTACCCAGCCCATTCGAGATGGAGTAGTTCTGGTTCGCATGCCTCTGACAAAGCCAGTTCAGAGAATTAAGTAGGGTGATGTTTACAAAGTGCCTTGCATACCTCTTGGACATAATTTTTCATAAGGATTGAATTAACATTATCAAGAAAAATGAATCAAGTTCATTTTAACTAGTGCATATAAATCTGATAGGCATTGATTGTGCACCTATTTGCAAAGCATGGTGCTGATCCCTGGAAGAGACGGGACAAGGAGGCAACTGTATGTAGGGTGCCCTGTGAGTGTGCATATAAGAGGCGTGGATTAGGACAGACACATATTGAGGGAAGAGCATGTGAGGACACAGCAAGAGGGTGGCCATCTACCAGTAAAGGGGAGAGGCCTCAGAAGAAACCAAACTTCCAGTAACGTGATTATTTTAACAGGGACAACAGATGGCTCTGGGTGGTTCCAGGCACCATGACTGACAGATTTGGAGGTGGAGGGGTGTTTCCAGGAGAACAGAGGAGGCTGTCTATCATCCTGAGGCTCTTGGACAGGAGCTGAGAAGTACAAAAGCACCCTCTGTCAGGGAAGGGATGTCGGCAGCTTGGCTCTTGTTATGGCAGTGGTAAGGGAGCTGATGGGAGAACACCTTCGCATAAAGCAAACAGAACACTTGCAATGTGAATGGAGAACCTTACTGATATGAATAATTTCAACATTTGGAGGTATAACATAGACACCCGAAACCTGGAGAGTAAAGAGCACGCTAGCATCACGTGCGGCCAACCTGGCCACGAGCTGCTCTCCCCGCCCTCCCCGCACACGTGTCCCTTCAGGGAGGGAGAGGAAGGTCATGACCTGGCTGCGCTGCTCGCCCCACACACGTGTCCCTTCACGGAGGGAGGAGGAAGGTCGTGCGATGCAGGTGTTGCTCCTTGCGTCATTCCCTGAGCTCCCTTTGTGTGTCAAGCAATCTGGGCACTGGGTACGCAGAGATGAATATACTGGGGCCCATGGACCCGAGGCCATGGACTAGTTGGGGGCCAGACATAAACAAATACAATGTGGGACATAACCCCATCCAAGAGCGCACAAAAACACAATGGCCGCCGAGGAGCAAGCCCTTCTTGTCCTGCCTCCAAAAGCCAACTCTGGTTTCTTTTTTTTCTTTTTTCTTTTCTTTTTTTTTTTTTTTGAGACAGCGTCTCACCCTGTCCCTCAGACTGGAGTGCAGTGGCACGATCTTGGCTCACTGCAACCTCCCGGGTTCAAACACTTGTCCCGCCTCAGCCCCTGAGTAGCTGGGATTACAGGCACGCGCCACCACACCCAGCTAATTTTTGTATTTTTAGTAGAGACAGGGTTTTCTCATTTTGGCCAGGCTGGTTTCGAACTCCTGACCTCAGGTGATCCGCCTGCCTTGGCCTCCATAGTGCTGGGGTTACAGGCGTGAGCCACCGCACCCCGCCGCCAACTCTAGTTTCTAAAATATTTTAATATCTGCAGGGATTACTTTTTCATCTTTACACTTCCTTTTCAGAGTTTTCTGGCTTTTCTCACATTATTCTGTGTAGTTCTCCCTTTTCTCCCCCAACTATGTTAACTATTTAGATTAACTGGGGGAGAAATATCAGATTTCTGGGACTGAGCTGATATGGTTTGGATCTGTGTCCCTACCAAATCTCCTGTTGAATTGTAATCCCCGATATTGGAGGTGGGGCCTGGTGAGAGATGATTGGATCATGGGGGAGGAGTTCTGATAAATGGTTTGACACCATCCCCTCGGTACTGTCTTCGAGATCCTGAGTTTTCATGAGGTCTGGTCATTTAAAAGTGTGTGGCACCTCCCCCTCACACTTTCTTGCTCCTGCTTTGGCCATATGGTGTGTGTGCTCCCCCTTTGACTTCTGTCATGATTGTAAATTTCCTGAGGCTTCCCCAGAAGCTAAGCAGATGCCAGCAGTATGCCTCCTGTACAGCCTGCAGGACCGTGAGCCAATTATACGTCTTTTCTTTATCAATTAGCCAGTCTCAGGTATTTCTTTAGAGCAAGGCAAGAACAGTCTAATACATGAGACTTCTTAGCCTAGGGCATGGTTTATCTCAGCCTTTGTTCAAGCTTTCTTTGGTGACTCTCAGTACTTAAAACATTTCTTCATATAGATCTTGCACATTTCTTGTTAAGTAAATGTCTAGGTGGCATTTCATATTTTTGTTCGATTTCATAAAAGTAGTTTTCCTCCTTTCAACCTTTAACTTTTTTTAATTTTAAAATTTTATTTTTATTTTTTGACAAATTTTAATTATATAACCATATATAATTATGGGGTACACAGTGATGTTACTATATGTATACAGTGTGTAATTATTGAATCAAGCTAATTACTGTATTCATCACCTTAAATACTTATCATTTATCCTTCTTGTCTAACTGCAACTTTTTTTGAGTTAGAGGGCGGGGTCTTGCTTTGTTGCCATGCCTAGAGTGCAATGGTGGATGCAATCATCTCTAGTGAACTGAAGCCCCAAACCCTGGGCTCAAGCAATCTTCCCACCTCAGTCTCTCAAGTAGCTAGGACTACAGGCACATGACACCACACCAGGTCCATTTTTGAAATTTTTTGTAGAGAGAAGTTCTCAGTTGTTGCCCAGGCTCAAGTGATCCTCCTGCCTCAGTCCCCACCAGTGCTGGGATTACAGGTGTGAGCCACTGCACCTGGCCCAGCCACAATTTTTAATTCTCCTAATTTATTTATTTATTTATTTTTTATTTCTTTGAGATGGAGTTTTCCTCTTGTTGTCCAGGCTGGAGTGCAATAGCATGATCTTGGCTCACTGCAACCTCCGTCTCTCGGGTTCAAGCGATTCTCCTGCGTCAGCCTCCTGAGTAGCTGGGATTACAGACGTGCGTCACCACACCTGGCTAATTTTTGTATTTTTAGGAGAGACGGGGTTTCACTATATTGGCTAGGGTAGTCTCAAACTCCTGACCTCGTGATCCTCCTGCCTCAGTCTCCCAAAGTGCTGGAATTACAGGTGTGAGCCACCATGCCCGGCCCTGGAGAGAAGATTTAACACTTGTAAAATTTTCATTTGCCAGTTTCTTAATTGGATTACTGGCTTCAGGGTGGAGCCCTTGGAGGAACAGGGCCAGGAAAGCATGCATATCTAGGGCCAAGTAAGCAGCAAATAAGCAGCTGAAGGCAAAGACAGATCCCCAGAATTAAGGGTGCCATTTTAAACTGGGTTCTCCATCCCCAAAAGGAGGGAACTACTACAGGAGAAGACAGTGCAGTGCTGCTACCCTGCGTTTCATTGCAAGGCAAACCAAAGCCAATCAGCCCATTTTGTAATTGGACCATTCCCCATAAGAGTCTTATCTCTCAGTGGGGCTGGGGGTGTTTCCACATCCTCCAGGTGGCCAAGAGCATGCTTCTCTAATCCAAGTATGCGAACAATCAGGTATTCTTCCATAACTGCTATTAGCCATGCACTAAAGTATATCTCCTACCTAGTTATTAGACACCAAGTGTTTTCAAATAAAGGGAAGTAATTTCTGATACGCCTGAAACTCAAAACCATTAGATAACGCAATGCAAAACAGAACAGAGCCTTTGATTTTGAGAGGGATTTATCTGCTTTTAATTGCTAGGGTTCTATGTGGAAAACAGAGCTTTTTTTTTTTTCTTCCAAAATGGGGTTGGTGGTGCTTCCTGTTTTTCCCAAGAAGTCCCAGGCTACCAGAAGTCATCTCAGGGCCTCTCATGTGTGCATTAAGATTGGCAAGACAAAAAAAATGGAGGAAAATAATTCAGTCAGCTGAGAAGAAAAAAAAACTTTTTCCAGGAAAAACAAGATCCAAGGAGAGAAAAACATAAAGGGCTTTTAAATATATTTATAGCACCGGGCATGGGGCTCACACCTGTAATCCCAGCACTTTGGGAGGCCGAGGTGGGCAAATCAGGAGGCCAGGAGTTCAAGACCAGCCTCGTCAACATGTTGAAATCCTGTCTCTACTAAAAATACAAAAATTAGCCAGGAGTGGTGGCGCACGCCTGTAATCCCAGCTACTCAGGAGGCTGAGGCAGGAGAATCTGCTTGAGCCTGGGAGGCGGAGGTTGCAGTAAGCTTAAATCTTGCCATTGCACTCCAGCCTGGGTGACAGAGTGAGACTCCATCTCAACAATAAAATAAATAAATAAATAAACTTCTAGCTTGTTTATCCACTTTTAATTAAGCTGACTTTTAACTATGGTGCTTTTTTAAAAAAAATTCTTTTAAATTTTTTATTACCCAACTTTAGCCATGCCAAGTGGCCAATATTTTTGGCTTTTGAATTCCATAGGTAACTTTCCACATGAAATTAATAAGTTTTAATTAAGGATATAACTTAACCATGGAAACGTGAGTGTCTCAAAGAGATGGTAAGCAGTTTCTTTTTTTTTTTTTTTTTTTTTTTACAAGATTTAGAATTTCCCCTAGGGTATTTTAGAGAAATAAAACTTCAAGACAGGAAATCAGAAGCTATCCATGGTGGGGGGAAACCTCAACAAATGGCAAAGTTACATAAGTAAAAAAACCAGAAGGGAATCATTCCAGAAGCCAAGAATAGAACCCAGGCTCAGGCCGGCACGGTGGCTCACGCCTGTAATCCCAGCACTTTGGGAGGCCGAGGTGGGTGAATCACCTGAGGTTGGGAGTTCAACACCAGCCTGACCAACATGGAGAAACCCCGTCTCTACTAAAAATATAAAAAAATTAGCCAGGCGTGGTGGCGCATGCCTGTAATCTCAGCTACTCAGGAGGCTGAGGCAGGAGAATTGCTTGAACCCAGGAGGCGGAGGTTGAGGTGAGATGACATGGTGCCATTGCAATCCAGCCTGGGCAACAAGAGTGAAACTCCGTCTCAAAAAAAAAAAAAGAAAAAAAAAATTAGAACCCAGGCTGCCATTGTCAAAAGACAAAGCCCTGGCCACTGAGTTACAGCATTGAGCAGTTTCTATTGCTCTTCCCAGAAGGAGCCTAGAGAAGCCAGTTTAAAAGTTGCAAAGGTTTTTAGCTGCTCAAGAAAATGTTTAGGGCTGACTATGACATGAATCCCCAAGTTCCTGTCTTCTAGATGGCAGAAACCAGGAGAAAGTATCCCCACATGGTCACAAGGTTAAGCTCTTAAGGACACAAAACAAGACAGAGAAATTTCATCTGCTATTGGTTTCAGGGACCCATAGCAGTTTGCAGCTGAACAGCCTGCCAGGCTGGCTTGAAAAGTGGGCTTGAAAGTGGGTCCTGAACCCACGTTCTATCCTGTGATACTCCTTTCTCCATTACAGAACACAGAAAGACAAATTCTTAGCACAAAGTACACCAGATTTGCTACCACCTAAAACTAGTTTCACAAATCCTTTTTCTATTAATCAAACGCTTGCAGAGAGACAAATAGTGACGTTTACTGTTTACCCAGACAGCGAAAGAGAGAGAGAGAGACCAGAAACTTGGCTGGTAAGAATTTCTTACCCTTTTTGCCAGCATACTAGGCTTCCTGGCTCCCCTTCTCTGCAGCTTCCAGAACAGAGTGGTTTCTAATGACCCTGCTCACTGCACCATGGCTGTGGGAATCAAGCCACTTTACAAGAGAAAATCACCCTTTCCTGAGCTTTACGGAACCACAGACAAGATTCTTAATTGGCAAGATGCTGCCCAACAGGCTGCATGGGGAACCAAATTAACATTTTCCATCCCAGCAAAACACACATAACAAAACACACATTAGCCACCTCGTTCAGCACCCAATATCAGCCTGGCAAAGCTCAAAAACTTTTTCCCGTTGGTCCCTGTTGTCTTTGATCCACTCCAGGTGGGGAGGGATGACCTTAGAATAGTAATTCACAATGGGGTCTCTCGGCAAGACGAAGAGCAGATAGTCACCCCGAGACAGGCCTGTTGAGCCTTCTCTAGGGCTCATCAAATGTGACCAGACAAATAAGGAGGGTTTTGAGTTAGGTCTGCTGGACTTCCATCAGTAACCTCTTCTGAGATCCCTTCCACATATACAAACACACACAAAGATGAGAGGACACAGGCCTTCCCAATTAGATCCCTAACCAAGACCTCCAGGAGTATCCCTTCCAAACTATCTTTCTATTCTCCTTCTGAGAAACCTCCTCAAAATCTTCCTAATTGAGAAGAAGTCTCCCAAACCAGAAGTCTTCCTACTAGTTAGAAGGAGCCAACCAAGACTCCCCAGGAGCTGAACAGACACCCTCCAATGGGGCTACAGACACAGACATCCCATGATGGAGCTACAAATAGACATCCCACCACAGGGCTACAGAACCAGTCAGGAGAAGGAAGGAGGCATTGGCAGTGCATAGGATACTAACCAATCTGGATTAGACAACCTGCAATGGGGTTACAGACAGACACCCCACCATGGGGCTACAGACAGACACCCCATGATAGGGCTACAGTTAAGGGATGTCTCCCCGTGACTATTTCTCCACTGCAATTAAATCCATGCACATTGGGTCAGCAGTGCCCCACCAGTAGTGAGAGTATCAGGGTCAGCCTCCAGTCCAAGAGAACTAGGCAGCTGCTTGGGCAGGCTTCTGGATCCATTGCTAGAGGGCTGCCACTGAACCATGGGCAGGTAGTCACAAGGGCAATCCCGGACGAGCTACCAAATTTGTAACTGTCCAGGGGGTTCACCTTGCCCACCACTTAGATAGAGCAGATTTATTAAAACAGGGGAATTGCAGTAGAGAAAGAGTAATTCACGCAGAGCCAGCTGTGTGGGAGACCAGAGTTTTATTATTACTCAGATGAGTCTCCCTGAGCATTCAGGGAGCAGAGTTTTTAAGGATAACTTGGTCGGTGGGGGGAAGCCAGTGAGCCAGGAGTGCTGATTGGTCAGAGATAAAATCTTAGGGAGTCAGAGTTGTTTTCTTGAATTCAGTCAGTTCCTGAGTGGGGGCCACAAGATCAGATGAGCCAGGTTTTTTATCTGGGTGTTGCCATCAAGTGCAGGGTCTACAAAATATCTCAAGCATTGATTTTAGAAGCAGTTTAGGGAGTGTCAAGATTCTGTAGCCTCCAGCTGCATGACTCCTAAACCATAATTTCTGATATTCTGGCTAATGTTAGTCCTACAATGTCAATCTATTCCCCAGGCAAGAAGGAAAAGGGCTGTTTGGAAAAGGGCTGTTACCATCTTTGTTTAAACTATAAACTATACACTAAGTTTTCCCCAAAGTTAGTTCAGCCTACCTCCAGGAATGAACAAGGACCCCTTGGAGATTAGAAGCAAGATAAAGTCAGTTAAGTTAAATCTCGTTCACTGTCTCAGTCATAATTTTGCAAATGTGATTTCATGTGTCCACGTGGGGCTTTGACTGGAAATCACTGTTGTTATTTTTTTTTTGCTGCCCATGACAACATTTGAATGAGTCTTTTATAATTCTAGTTCAATTTCTCTGAAGAGAAAAGTAACCATTGTTTTGAAGTGACTCATGCACTTCTCTTTTTAGTCTGACAGCCCTGACAGAATATGTTAGCTATTCTCCAGATTTTATTTTAAAGTCCTAAAAAAATTTGATTTTTGCGGGGTTAACTTTTACATATTGTTTTTCAAAATTAATATAATTTTTAATTGACAAATTGTAATTGTATACGTGTATGGGATACATGATTTCAATACAGGTAAGAGACAGCGTAATGTAGAATACTGCCGTAAGATAGGAAGGCAGCAGATGGAGCCAAGTGTGTTGGCATGTACCTGTAATTGAAGCTACTCAGGAGGCTGAGGCAGCAGGATTGCTTGAGCCCAGGCATTTGAGTCTAGCCTGGGCAATGTAGCAAGACCCATCTCAAAAAAAATTAAAAAAGAAAGATGGAAAAAAACAAACCCAGGGATTCTCCACAATTAGTATATAAAAATAAAAAATAGGCCAGGCGTGATGGCCCACACCTGTAATCCCAGCACTTTGGGAGGCTGACGTGGGTGGATCATTTGAGGTCAGGAGTTTAAGACCAGCCTAGCTAACATGGTGAAACCCTGTCTCTACTAAAAATACAAAAATTAGCCAGGTGTGGTGGCGCACACCTGTAATCCCAGCTACTCTGGAGGCTGAGGCACAAGAATTGCTTGAACCCGGGAGGTGGAGGTTGCAGTGAGCCGAGATGGCACCACTGCACTCCAGCCTGGTGACAGAGCAAGACTCCATCTCAAGACAAATAAACAAGTAAATAAAAATAAGCAAGAAATAAAATAAGAAATAAAGGTAGCAGATGGAGATTTAGGAGACAAGGACTCCAGACATGCTCTTGCTTATTCTATACCTATAGTTCTCACTGTGTGGTCGGGGGATCCCCATGGAACTCCTGAGATCTTTCAGGGGATCTGCAAGGTCAAAACTATTTTCATAATCATACTATGACACTGTTTTCACTCTCACAAGTGTAGACTAGAATTTACTTTTCCCCTTCTTCCCTTCTTCTCTTTCTTTTTTTTGACAGGGTCTCACTTCACTCCCCAGACTGAAGTTCCATGGCATGATCATGGCTCTCTGCAGCCTCAACTTCCCAGCCTCAAGCAACCCTCCCATCTCAGCCTCCTGAGTTGCTGGAACCACAGGTGTGCATCACCACGCCCAACTAATTTTTAAGTTTTTGTAGAAACAGGGTCTCTTTATGTTGCTGAGGCTGGTTCAAACTCCTGAGCTCAAGCGATCTTCCCACCGCAGCCCTCCAAAGTGCTGGGACTACAGGCATGAGCCACTGTGCCCGGCTTAGACTGGAATTTTCAACAGGCTAATGCTCTGTGATATTGCAGTAGACTAAAGATGCAGAAGTATTAGAGACTCCAGCTGCTTTCTGCTGAGTCAGACATGAGTAAGATGTGCAAACTGTAAGTCAGTGCTACTCTTCTCAGACTTTTTAACAATTTTTCTGTTTTGGCTTCTGATACAGTAAATATCAACAGATATAATCCCCACATGAAAGCCCCCTGGAGTCCTCATTTTCAAGAGTGTAATGGGGCCTTGAACCAAATCATTTGAGAACCCCTGCCCTAGAAGTAAGAGTGTTTTAAACCCACAGCAAGCCGGCCTCTCTGGGTCTCAGTGTATCCTTTACCTAAAGGAAGGATATGAGATAAGATGATTTCTAGTATCTCCAGATCTGGACAGGTGAAGATGGCCTAACTTGGCTGGTGGGTTTATAAGCGAGTCTGACTTGTGAGGGTGAAGGGAGGGGAGGGCCCCCACACAGCTAATTGTTCCACAGCGTGGCGCTCTGGGTCTCAAAGGAGAGAGATTCCTGCTTCCCTGTTTTGCTGTTTGGTGCTTTTGTGTTCTGCTATAAGCAACAGAGAACTTGGCCAAATTAAAATGTTGCTGGGGAGTGAGTGGTAGGAAAAATTAGGATTGTGTGCTATATTTTGGGGGGTTCTTCAGAGAAACAGAATCCATAGGATACACATAGTATATGAGATTGATTATGGGAATCAGCTCACACGATTCTGGAAACTGAGAAACTCCACCACCTGCTCTCCGCAGGCTAGAGAGCCAGGAAAGCCAGTCGGGGAATTGAGTCTGAGCTTGAAGGCTGGAGAAGTGTAACTGCCCAATGGGCTCACCTTGCCCAGTGCCTGGATAGAGCCGATTTAGCAAGATAGAGGAATTGCAGTGGAGAAAGTGTAATTCACGCAGAGCCAGCTGTGCAGGGGAACGGAGTTTCGTTGTTACTCAAATCAGTCTCCCCAAACATTTGGGCAGCAGAGTTTTTAAGGACAGCTTGGTGGGTGTGAGGAAGCCAGTGAGCCAGGAGTGCTGATTGGTCAGAGATTAAATCATAGGGAATTGAAGCTGTCCTCTTGCACTGAGTCAGTTCCTGGGTGGGGGCCACAAGATCAGGTGAGCCACTTAATTAATCTGCATGATGCCAGCTGATCCATTAAGTGCAAGGTCTGCAAAACATCTCAAGCCACTGATCTTAGGAGCAGTTTAGGGAGGGTCAGAATCTTGTAGCCTCCAGCTGCATGTCTCTTAAACTATGATTTCTAATCTTGTGGCTAATGTTAATCCTACAAAGACAACCTAGTCCCCAGGCAAGAAGGAGGTCTGCTTTGGGAAAGGGCTTTGTTTTAAACTATGGTCTTTGTTTTAAACTATAGGCCGGGCACAGTGGCTCACGCCTGTAATCCCAGCACTTTGGGAGGCCGAGGTGGGTGGATCACGACGTCAGGAGATCGAGAACATCCTGGCTAACACGGTGAAACCCTGTCTCTACTAAAAATACAAAAAATTAGCTGGGTGTGCTGTTGGGCACCTGTAGTCCCAGCTACTCGGGAGGCTGAGGCAGGAGAATGGTGGGAACCCAGGAGGTGGAGGTTGCAGTGAGCCGAGATCACGCCACTGCACTCCAGCCTGGGCGACAGAGTGAGACTCTGCCTCAAAAAAAAAAAAAAAAAAGGTAAACTATAAACTAAGTTTCTCCCAAAGTTAGTTCAGCTTATGCCCAGGAATGAACAAGGGCAGCTTGGAGGTTAGAAGCAAGAAGGAGTCAGTGAAGTTAGATCTCTTTTGCTGTTTCAGTCATTAATTTTGCAAAGGTGGTTTCAGAAGCAGGAGCACTGATGTCCGAGGACAGGAGAAGGTGAATGTCCCAGCTCCGAGAGAATGTGCCTTTCCTCCACTCTTCTGTTCGGCTCCTCAACGGATGGAACGATGCCTGCCCGCGTGGGTGAGGGCGGATCTTCCTTACCTAGTCTGATAGAAACGCTAACCTCTTCCAGACTCACCCTTACAGACACACCTAATAATAATGTTTTACCACTTCTCTTGACATCTCTTCCCAGTCAAGTTGACACATAAGATTAACTTCCACAGTTGCTCTGTCCAAGTA
This sequence comes from Homo sapiens, assembly GCF_000001405.40. NCBI lineage: Eukaryota > Metazoa > Chordata > Mammalia > Primates > Hominidae > Homo > Homo sapiens. The sequence continues at coordinate 247,388,908 of NC_000001.11, forward strand.
AAGGGTTTTGCCAGGGCCCTTGACCTCAAGAGACAGAAGAACCTGAGAGCACACTGGGAGGCCATGTCACAACCCTGTGAAAGGGTGGGGAAGAACTCTCTGTCCATGTCCCTGGATTTCTAGATGTTCAGAGCTGGATGGGCCCATGAGGAGTCTTTGGTCCAACTTCCCAACAAAACAGTCTCGTTCTCGCAGCCTCCCAGGCAGGATTGCTGGGCCTTAATGTCCAGGGAAGCTGATGAGCAGGAGTGTGGGAGCGAAGCCTTCCCTTCTTCCCTTCCTGGTCACAATCAGGAAAGGGAGTTGCTCCTGCTGACCTATAGAATCTCGATTTCAAGACTGACTGATTCTACAACCAAACGAGAAAACGAGAATTCTTACGTAAGTTCAGAGTAACAACTGTATGCAAGACTCACTCCCACCTGTGTCCTCCTCGACTCATTCTTCCCCACCTCCTGTGTTTCAGTGCGTAACAAACTGCCATGGACTGGGTGGCTTATAAACAACAGGATTTTTTTTTGTTTGTTTTTTGAGACAGGGTCTCATTCTGACACCCAGGTTGGACTGTAATATGATTGATCATAGCTCACCACAACCTCAAACTCCTGGGCTGAAGTAGTCCTCCTGCCTCAGCCTCCCAAGGAGCTGGGACTCCAAGCACAAGCCACCATACCCAGCTAACTTTTAATTTTTTGTAGAGATGAGGTCTCTCTATTTTGCCAGACTGGTCTCAAACTTCTGGCCTCAAGTGATTCTCCTGCCTTGCCCTCCCAAAGATTTGGGATTACAGGAGTGAGGTACTACACCTGGCCCAACAGAAATCTATTTCTCACAGCTCTAAAGGCTGGGAACTCCAAGATCAAGACACCAGCAGGTCTGGTGTCTGGGCTGGTCTGGTGTCTGGTGAGGACCCGTTTTCTGTGCTACTGATGGCCATATATGTTCCTTAGCTATAATCTCACATGGTGGAATGGACAAGGGATTGCTCTGTGGCCCCTTTTATAAGGGCACTAATTCTCCCTTCAGGGGGCTCCACTCACATGACCTAATCACCTCTCCAAAGCCTCATCTCTTAATACCCTCATCTGGGGGGTTAAGATTTCAACATATGAATTTGGCAGAGACACGGACATTCCATTTATACCAGCACCTCTTTATATTAGGTTTCATGCAAGCAAGCCCCGTCTTTCCCCAATATCCCACCCTTCACTTCTGTCCTGGAAACTTCGGGGACGCCAATCATGTACTCTTTTTTACAGCAATTAGCTTTCTCCATCCGCTGGTGCTGCTCCGCAGTCCTCCGCTCTCCCTCCTTCCTCTTCTTAACCTGGGGAGGGCAGAGGGATGATTGTCACTAACACCCAGGACCAGCAGAGGGCAGAAGAGAGTAGCAGGAACCTCCAGTGGAGCAAAATGAGGGACTCTCCTCTCAGTTAAGCAGGTGAGCCAAGGCCAGGCCTCTGGGCTACATATACAGTCCCAGGGGGAGAGAGCGAGGTCAGGTCTAAGACGCGGGGATGCCCCAGCTCAAGATGTGCTGCAGCAGCAGCTGGAGTCGGGCTCCTGAAAAGAGTCGAGCTCAGTGTGGTTAGGAAAAACATTGCAACAGCAGTTTCAGGCTACTTCCGTTTTCTTTCTTATTTTTATCTTTAGAAGCTCAGTATATTAAAAAAAAAAAAAAAGAAATGACAAAGCAGAGTTACGAAACTCTGGTGTGTTTTAAATGTTTACATCGAATACACTTCCTTTTACAGAAAACTCAAGATTCCAGTACACTGAGCAATGATATGCTTATTTCTGTGAGCACAAAAAAGACAGTGATGAAAATACTTGACTAATGAAAAATTTGGAAGTTTGGGGTTTTTTTTTTTTTTGCAAAATGATTTCACTCTGGGACTTTTGATGTTATACCATCAGGAGCTTGAGTGACAGCCATTGTTTTATTATTATTATTTGAATTGGGGGTCTCGTTCTGTTACCCAGCCTGGAGGGCAGTGGCACAATTATAGCTTACTGCAGCCTCGAACTCCTGGGCTCAAGAGATCCTTCTGTCTCAGCCTCCTGAGTAGCTGGGACTACAGGTGCACACTACCATGCTTGGCTAATTTTTTAAACATGTTTTTGTAGAGATACGGTCTTGCTATGTGTGGTGTGGCCAGCCTAATCGCAAACTCCTGGCCTCAAACAATCCTCCCTTCTCAGCCTCCCACAAGCACTAGAATTACAAGCATTAGCCACCACACCCAGCCACAGTCATCATTAAAGGAAAAAATACTCTGTCCAGGTGCAGTGGTTCACACCTGTAATCCTAGCACTTTGGGAGGCCAAGGCGGGTATGTCACTTGAGCCAAGGAGTTCAAGACCAGCCTGGGGCAATATGGCAAAACCCTGTCTCTACAAAAAGTACAAATATTAGCCAGGTGGGTTGTGATGTGCACTTGTAGTCCCAGCAGCCTGGGAGGTTGAGGTTGGAAGATCGCTTGAACCTGGGGAGGTCGAGGCTGTGAACCATAATCAATCACGACTGCATTCCAGCCTGGGTGGCAGAGTGAGACCCTTCTCAAAAAAATATTCCGATGCTTTTTGAAATGGTAACAGAGACTTTATTTAGCACGATTCCAGCAGGGGTATTGTAATAGAGCAGAGAGAATGGACTCAACCCTGAATGCAACAAGGGAACGTTGGGATTTATGGCTAGGGAACAGGTTGGGAGTCAGTGGACAGAGATTACTAAGAGGATATAGTAAAGGTGAAAAAGATTCTGTTAGACTTTAATCAGACTCCTGAACCTGGCCTAACAGAACTTTAGTCAGGCTCCTGAACCTTCTCCTAGACCCATCTGTGCATTTCCTTATAAAATCCAGCTTTAACAAGAATCCTGCTAAGTCAGTTTAACAAGAATATCCTCATCCTTGGTATCTGACTCCTCAATGGCAGATTGGGTTCCTTATTTTTCATTATCCCCCAGGCAATGTTCAATTACCCCGGCCTGCCTTCAGCAAGAGTATGTTAGGCCAGTTCAACCAGAACCCCCTTACCCCTGATATTTCCTCTTCGTAATTTTTTATCTACTGACCCCCACCCTTCTCTTTGGTTATAAATACCCCCTCTTCCTTGTTGTATTTGGAGTCCGACCCAACCTCTCTCCCACCGCTAGATCCCACTGCCATGTTACCTACACTTATCACAAGGGTCCAGAACAAAGTCAGCCCTCCCATCCTTTAATAAGTACCATTGAATAATTTTTCCTTAACAAGGGTAGGGATATTCTTGCTAAAGTGATCTAACAGGATTCTTGCTGAAGACAGGCCAGGGTGATCAGATATCACCTGGGGGATTGTGAGGGATGAGCAACCCAATCAGATATGAGAATAGTCAGATATCAATGTGGGGAATGACTTAGCAGGATTCTTGCTAAAACTGGGCTAGGCAGGTTGATGAGAGGATGGGGGCCAAGGACAAGGCCTGGTTGAGGAGAAGATTCCGAGGAGTCTGACTGAAGTTTGGTAGAGGAGGGAATCTTTGTCACAGTTCACTGTAACATTAAAGTCTGGACTTTTTTTTCCTTTTTAACATTCTATCACACTTGGAAATGTCTTGCAACAATATTGTACTTTGAACAAAATAGTTACAGGACTATGAAAAAGAATCTTAGACATGCTACACTGTAGGCAGCATGGCCTGGACATGGACCTGTGCTTACAGCTGTATGGTAGAAAGAACCTGTGTGAAGGTGAGTTTAAGTATCGGAGTGTGAGAGGCCTTCTGAGGACACAAAGCTTCTCTGTGCCTCACCCACAATGGTGTCTTGGTGAATGCCTTTAGACTGAGTGAGCATTCATCTAGTCTGAGACTTCTTATCTACTGCATTTTTTTTTTTTTTTTGGAGAAACAGAGGTCCCACTATATTGCCCAGGCTGGTCTTGAACTCTTGGCTTCAAGTTATCCTCCTGCCTCAGCCTCTCAAAGTGCTGGGATTACAGTCATGAGTCACCACGGCCTGGTCTGTCTACTGCATCTTAAAGGAGCAGATGCTTGCTTTTTTTTTTTGAGACAGGGTCTCACACTGTTACCCAGGCTGGAGTGCAGTGGCACAATCATGGCTCACTGTAACCTTGAACTCCTGGGCTCAAGAGATCCTTCTGCCTCAGCCTCCTGTGTAGCTTGGGACTACAAGTCCATGCCACCATGCCCAGCTAATTTGTTTTTTAAATATATATATATTTTTTGTAGAGACAGACTGTTGTTATGTTGCCCAGACTGGTCTCAAACTCCTGGCCTCAAGTGATCTTCCTGCCTCAGCCTCTCGGGGTGTTGGGATTACAGGTATGAGCCACCATGCCTGGCCTACATGTCTACTTTTGATCCTGGGAATAGGCAAGCATCCTCCCTTCCCTCCTCTTTTATGATTGTTCCCTGTACATCCACCTCCAGCTCCAGGACTCTACCTCTCATCAAGGCTGACCAGAAGCAAGATGATGGAAGCCAAGAGAGCTCCTCTGCATGCTCCACTGTCTAAGCTCTGCTCTGCATCTGCCGTGATTCTTCTTCCAAACAGAAAACACCGTCTTTCTTTTTGACTACATCTGTCCTCAGAGATGGTGCTGATGGATCCATTTATAATTTATGTGAATTTAAACCTTTGCAATTTTTACATGGAATAAAAGGACCTATTTTCTGGAAAGAAAATGCTGAACAAGAGCTGAGAACCTGGGGCAATCTAAGGCAGGGGTTCCTCCCTAACACCCCTGCTGTCAGAAGCCAGCTGGTTGGCCATAGATCACTTCACCTAACACCCAGTGCCCAGTCACATTTGCCCCCAAATTGTACAACTCAAGCTTAACTTTCACATATTTTAAGATAGTGTCAGCCCCTTTTGCAATATGTAGATGATACTTTTTGTTTGTCATTTACCATTTCAAAAAAATTAAAGCATATTGAATATCTAACTTAAAGCATATTGAATATCTAGCTTGCTTTCCTCTCAGGTTACTAATAAGAATTGCATTTTTTAATGCTTAATCACATATTAAGCTTTCCATTTGGGAGTTTTGCTCTTTTGTTCTTTAAATGGTGTCTCAGTCCATTTGGGCTGCTATAACAAGGTCCACAGACTGGGTAGCTTATCAACAACAGAAATTTATTTGTCACAGTTCTGGAGGCTGGAAAACCAAGATCAGAGCTCCAGCATGGTCAGGCTCTGGTGAGGGCTGTCTTCCAAGTTGCAGACTGCCAACTTTTTGTTGTATCCTCACATGGCAGAAAGAGGCAAGAGAGCTCTCTGGCCTCTTCCTATAAGGACACTAATACCATTCAAGAGGGCTCCATTCTTGTGAGCTAATTACTTCCCAAAGTTCTCACCTCCTAATACCATCACACTGGGGATTTCAACACATGAATTTTAGTGGGGCACAGTCAGTCCACTATAAATGAATATTACCAATATTTCCATTTGCCTTCTTGCATGGCCTGCAGGAGGTCAGTGTTTTTTCTCCTCTAATGATATTGAGCTGCGGTTGGGCCCATAATGGTGAAAAGACCCGATGAAGGCCATCTCGTCCATTCAGGCTACTCTAATAAAATACCATGAACTGGGGGTGCTGATAAACAATAGAAATGGATTTCCCACAGTTGTGGAGGCTGGAAGTTCAAGATCAAGGCACAAATAGACTCAGTGCCTGGTGGGAACCCATTTCTTAATTCACAGATGGTGTTTTCTTGCTGTGTTTCTATACCCTAATGGAAGGGGCAAGGCAGCTCTTGGAGGTCTCTTTTATAGGCACTAACGCCATTTATGAAGGCTGCACACTTATGACCCAATCACCTTCCAAAGTTCCCACCTCCAAATATCATCACCTTGGTGACTAGATTTTAACATGAATTTAGAGGGGACACAAATATTTAGACCACAGCAGGTCTGTTAGCTTCACAATAGTCATGGTTCTGGCTTTCAATTCACACATATTATGGGGTCATAAAATATGTATCACCACATAAATAAATTCCCTAATCTTAAATCACTATCATATGTAATATTGTATGATGTGTTATTTGAAATAATGAAGCAAAAAGAAGACACAATAACTTAAATGCGAAAATACAGAAATTTAGAAAAAAGAAAAGTCTAATCTATTGTTTTACTACACAACTAGAATTGTCCCCACTTCGGGGAATTTGCTTCTAGCTTTTCAAAAGCTTATATGTCAGCCAGGTGCTGTGGCTCATGCCTGTAATTCCAGCACTTTGGCAGGCCGAGGCCTGAAGGTTGTTGAGCCCAGGAGTTCAAGACCAGCCTGGGCAACGTGTGGAGACCTCATCTCCATTTTATTTTATTTTATTTTATTTTATTTTATTTTATTTTATTTTATTTTATTTTATTTCATTTTATTTCATTTTATTTATTTATTTATTTTTTTGAGATGGAAACTTGCTCTGTCGCCAGGCTGGAGTGCAGTGGCGTGATCTCAGCTCACTGCAACCTCTGCCTCCTGGGTTCAAGCCATTCTCCTGCCTCGGCCTCCTGAGTAGCTGGGACTACGGGCGTGTGCTACCACGCCCAGCTAATTTTTGTATTTTTCAGTAGAGGCGGGGTTTCACCATGTTGGCCAGGCTGGTCTCAAACTCCTGACTTGTGATCCACCCGCCTCGGCTTCCTACAGTGCTGGGATCACAGGCGTGAGCCACCACGCCCAGCCAATAATTCTTTCTTTTAAGTGTTCCTACTATTTATTGTTTTTAATTATTCAAAATCTTATTTTTATTTGTACATGCACAGGGCCTAAAAATTAAAATGCTATAAATGGAACACAATGAAAAACAATTTTTTTAAAAAAATTCAGATCTCTAGTTTCCCAATTTCTCAGTTCCTCTCTCCAGAGGCAAACACTGTTACCCAAATTCTTATAAATCCTTCCAGAAAGATGGCTATGTTACTAAATACCCCTTTCCTTGTATTTGCACAAATAAAAGCACCTAAAAACTGAATTTTGGACACACAGACATATGCTCGATTTTTTTTTGTATGTAGAACGAAATAACTTTTTCTCATGCTTTTTCAAAACCAAGTATTTTTTGGTTCTGTCAAAATTGATTTATACACTCTCCTAAAAACCCATGTGACTGAAAGTACCAGCGCATGAGACAAGGAGGCTAATCAAGATATAAATGAACATATTGCTCTGTACTTTGAGACAGTCTAGAGCCTGGCGCAGTGGCTCACGCCTATAATGCCAGCACTTTGGGGGGCCCAGGTGAGAGGATCACTAGATCCCAGGAGTTTGAGACCAGGGCAACATAGTGAAACCCCATCTCTACAAAAAAATTAGCTGGGTGTGG